>NC_000002.12:194762345-195065375 GCF_000001405.40 Homo sapiens | reverse complement strand
ACTGAGGTAATCAAAGTAGAAAAAATAAACAACAAAAAATTAAAATGGAAAAATCAGCCAATTTGTGGTCAGTTAATATTAGTTGACTGGATAAATGAGTAAAAGGCAATTTTATAGGTTCTTTTCTTGAATTTATTCAAATACACATAAGTTACATTAAATTTGGCCTTATGTGAACTATGCCTATAAGTGAATTTAGATTTTTCTTTTTATCTTTAGTCACATTTATTTTTTTTTATTTATTTTTTTTTTTAGCTATTCTTTTTTTTTTATTATACTTTAAGTTTTAGGGTACATGTGCACATTGTGCAGGTTAGTTACATATGTATACATGTGCCATGCTGGTGCGCTGCACCCACTAACTCGTCATCTAGCATTAGGTATATCTCCCAATGCTACCCCTCCCCCCACCCCACCACACTCCCCAGAGTGTGATATTCCCCTTCCTGTGACCATGTGATCTCATTGTTCAATTCCCACCTATGAGTGAGAATATGCGGTGTTTGGTTTTTTGTTCTTGCGATAGTTTACTGAGAATGATGGTTTCCAATTTCATCCATGTCCCTACAAAGGACATGAACTCATCATTTTTTATGGCTGCATAGTATTCCATGGTGTATATGTGCCACATTTTCTTAATCCAGTCTATCATTGTTGGACATTTGGGTTGGTTCCAAGTCTTTGCTATTGTGAATAATGCCGCAATAAACATACGTGTTCATGTGTCTTTATAGCAGCATGATTTATAGTCATTTGGGTATGTACCCAGTAATGGGATGGCTGGGTCAAATGGTATTTCTAGTTCTAGATCCCTGAGGAATCGCCACACTGACTTCCACAATGGTTGAACTAGTTTACAATCCCACCAACAGTGTAAAAGTGTTCCTATTTCTCCACATCCTTTCCAGCACCTGTTGTTTCCTGACTTTTTAATGATTACCATTCTAACTGGTGTGAGATGGTATCTCATAGTGGTTTTGATTTGCATTTCTCTGATGGCCAGTGATGATGAGCATTTTTTCATGTATTTTTTGGCTGCATAAATGTCTTCTTTTGAGAAGTGTCTGTTCATGTCCTTCGCCCACTGTTTGATGGGGTTGTTTGTTTTTTTCTTGTAAATTTGTTTGAGTTCATTGTAGATTCTGGATATTAGCCCTTTGTCAGATGAGTAGGTTGCGAAAATTTTCTAGGAATCCAACTTACAAGGGATGTGAAGGACCTCTTCAAGGAGAACTACAAACCACTGCTCAAGGAAATAAAAGAGGATACAAACAAATGGAAGAACATTCCATGCTCATGGGTAGGAAGAATCAATATCGTGAAAATGGCCATACTGCCCAAGGTAATTTACAGATTCAATGCCATCCCCATCAAGCTACCAATGACTTTCTTCACAGAATTGGAAAAAACTACTTTAAAGTTCATATGGAACCAAAAAAGAGCCCGCATCGCCAAGGCAATCCTAAGCCAAAAGAACAAAGCTGGAGGCATCACACTACCTGACTTCAAACTATACTACAAGGCTACAGTAACCAAAACAGTATGGTACTGGTACCAAAACAGAGATATAGATCAATGGAACAGAACAGAGCCCTCAGAAATAACGCCGCATACCTACAACTATCTGATCTTTGACAAACCTGAGAAAAACAAGCAATGGGGAAAGGATTCCCTATTTAATAAATGGTGCTGGGAAAACTGGCTAGCCATATGTAGAAAGCTGAAACTGGATCCCTTCCTTACACCTTATACAAAAATCAATTCAAGATGGATTAAAGATTTAAACGTTAGACCTAAAACCATAAAAACCCTAGTAGAAAACCTAGGCATTACCATTCAGGACATAGGCGTGGGCAAGGACTTCATGTCCAAAACACCAATAGCAATGGCAACAAAAGCCAAAATTGACAAATGGGACCTAATTAAACTAAAGAACTTCTGCACAGCAAAAGAAACTACCATCAGAGTGAACAGGCAAGTCACATTTATTTTTATGCACTTTATTCATGTAGCACTACATGAAATTAAATTGTTATAAGGCTGACAATCGTTTGGTTCATAACCTGTCTTGACTGGGTCAGCTGCTTCTTGTCCATGGTCATAGACCTAAGTTCAATTATGGCATAGACTTCCAGATTTGTTGTATTGTCTCCCAAACGTAGCCACTAGACAGATTTTCCTTCCATTAAATTGCTCTGATTTGCATGTCTAGGCTCTGTCCCTCTTTTTATCCCTAAACGTAGAAGCTTAGCCCAACAGCAGTTTGTTATTTCTCACATATTTGAGTTGGCTGGGCACATCTGCTGGTCTGGGCTAAACTCAGCTGATTTTAGCTGAATTTTCTCATATGTCTCATTAAATACAGGTGTGTTTTTTAGATACAGGGACATGTGAAGAGTTAGGGCTATTAGTATAATCAATTCACCACAGACATATTGCATGGTAGGCTATGAGGAGAGTTATTTCTTACATTTGGTGGATGTTCAAAGGTGGCAATCTGAACTATGAAAGTTTTGAGTATGTGTCTCTAAGTTATGAGGAGTAATATTTACTTCAGAGTGGCAGAAGTGAGATATATTTGGACACACTTTGAGTATAAAGTATTTAAAGTAGAGAATGAAAATCTTAAAATTGATATAAATGATGGAAAATCTATTGTAGGCCTTAAGGTGGCATAGCAAAAGTAATAGAATGCACATTATTTTACAGTAGCAAAGAGATAGATTGGAGGAAAGGTCATTGTAGAGGAGGAAAGGTAGCTGCTGTGGTTAATTTGAGAGAAAATGAATTCCAAGATAAGAGAAATAAGCAAACAATTAAAACTAATGCTCTGTTCATGCATTATTTTTATACAACCTTAGTAGTTTTCTTAAAGGCATGGTGAAATGGAATATTTATTATTATTGTTTTTTAACCTGACTATGTCTTTCATTCAGGTTTTACTGCCAAAGGTGAGATTTGTAAGCAAAATGAATAATTATTGTATTTATCTAGTTTCTAATAGCTTTTACCTGTTTTCTTTCCTACAAGCTTCTTAGATGTATAATCCTCTGGGGATTTGTCTAACTATCTCTGGGTTGTATGGCCTTTGTTACTGCCTGCTCAACAGAGGTCATCTCTTCCATAGCATAGATTCTTTTAGTTCAATAGTGGCTGTGGGGAGAAAAGAGGAAAGCATATTAAAACCACAATACCTTTTGTATCGACTAATTCTAATACCATAGTACTTAATGGGAAAGACATGAGATTTTTATGGATAGAATTTAGGATTTATGCCAAAAATATCAACTCCTTTCCCTACTAAATGACCTAAAGACAGATTATGCACGTGCTTTGCAAAATAAAATGAAAACAAATATCACTATTAACTTTTAAAATATTAACTCAAAATTGTCCCATTATTTTATTACATAAAACTAAAATCTGGAACTAAACTAATTGCTTCTAGAATATAGACCTCTCTCCCTATATATAATTATTAGAATCTTGGCTCTGGAATATTTATAGAATCAGAAAAATCCTTTAGTGAAATCATAAGTATAATACTATTATATATAGTATGAACTTTTTATCACTCCTTATTCATATTGCAGGCTACCCTGAGAGTGTGTTGATATATTTTAGTGAAAAAAAATTGAGGGTAATTGAGAAATTCACATGAGGATGACTACATGCTTACCTTATTTGATATGATTAAAGTACAAAACTTTATTCTAAAATGTTGACACATTTTAAAACATAAAAAAGTGATATTGCTTCTATTCCATTAACATAATTCAATTTTTCTTATATTCTTTCTGTTGTTAATATTTCATAATTAAAATCTATTTTATATTTCTGCTGTTTCAAAGGTTAGATAGACATCCTTGGACATTAACTATCTGTCAGCTTATAGGATGGGATTGAAAATTTAATTCTTCCTTTTTATTAAACTTTAATGGACAATTTCACAGTTTTGAGTTTTTTGTGACATGCTCAATACAGTGGCTCTTTGATCTGCAAGAAGTATTGAAAGAATAACTTTAAAGACATAAGCTCACAATGTATTCAGGCTTTTGTTGTAAAAATGTGCATCATTACTGGGTGACTAAAGAAGAAGCTAACTAATAAAGGTATAGATTTTTTTTTCTTTTCAAAATGGTAACAAATGTGATAGTTAAAATTTTATAATGGTTTCTTTATTTTTGAAACTATGCTAGGGAAGACTGTCATAGACACTGTGAATAGTTCAGGGAATAATGTCAGACTCATGTGCCAACTTGGAATGAGGACTACTAAAATAAAATTATAATTTCTGTTTCTTCATGTTTGATGTAGTGTTAGCCTATTTCAATTAAATCATTTCCTTACTCATTAATTAAAAAACACTGAAACTTGCATTTAACAAAAATTAATATTACATCACATGCATTTTTATAGTTCATTTAAACTCATCTATTATGTCATTAAATACTTTATTTATTTATAATGAAATGGCTTATTAAATAGTTAAGAGCATAAATATTTTATAATACCTAAAAAAGTATTTTATCCTTTTAAAGCTATATGGATATTAATATACCTTTAGGTAAAAGCAAGTTGAAATATGGGAGAGCACATCTTTTTCAATGCATAATATTTTCCTGAAAATTTTGAAAACTGAAAGATATTGAATTGTCTATTTTATAATAATTAAAACACTAAATGAACATTTATTTATTTCCATCTATACTTTCTCCCCCAAAATAATTTATATTGAATGTAGTTGGAAAACATTTGTTTTCTATGTTGTTAAACACTTAACATTTCTGTACTTTGAAGATGAATAATACAGTAAAATATAGAACATAAAAGCAGGGACCTATCACCTTATAGATAGACTAATTCTGATGAGCGAAGGAAAAACAATTTAGCCATGTATTAAACCTATTGTTGATTATTGATTACAAATTATGTATTACATTGCCACTCTGATTGTTCAAAATGATTTGTTGAAAATAGTCAACACAACTCTGTACAGTTTCAAGATTTTTGGAAAATGGAGGTCATCTTTGTAGAAGCAATGAATTATTTCCACAGTACAAAGCAGCGATTCTCAAACTCCAGTATACATCAGAATCACATGGAAGACTTACTGAAACAAGCTGGCCCAGAGTCACATTTTGAGAACCTGTGGTAAAGAGAAATTATAATGTTCATAATCATTACATGGGAAGTTTTGAAAATGTAGATTAACTCCCAAAGGTTTTGGTTCAGTGTGTCTGGGTACCAAATGTCCATCTGATTATGCCAGTGGTCCTGGAAAACATATTGAGAAACACAATCACAGAGATTAGGTAAAAGAAATTATTGTACCACTTGGTCAAAAGGTAGAGAATAAAGAGATATTGAACCAATTCAACAGATTTTGAATGTTTCTCATTTTATGATGTTAAATTTTGCAGGCTTTCAGGTATTTCATGAATTGGTGGGAAGATGCTGTACTTACTTATTGGAGATTTAATTAGCTTCAGGTTCAGACACTTAAAGGAAATGAGCTGACTACACAAAACAGGATCAAATGCTGCCTGGATCAGAATCACTTTCCCCTGGCTCCTTGGTTCTCTAGATAGAATCCCACAGGTTTGTGAAAACTGCAGATTTTTAAAAAATCAGAACTTAGTTGACCACAATTAATGGGAGAATTTAATGAATAATCTATTTGCTTCTACTTCAAGAAATGCTTACAAATATTATGGTTTTCTTATTCTTTTTTAAAATTAAAATTTATTTTCCAAATTTTAATCCATTCAGTTTCAGCTCTGACACATTTCAGCTTGAAAGTTATCAGTTCCATCTTTACAATGTGAAAAAAGCTGAACAAACTGAAAATCATCTTTTCTTGGACCCACAGGAGAAGTGATATCAAAAGACAACGACTACACCAAAATTTGGAGAAAAAGGTGAATCCAGACAGTCACAGGTGAGATCTGCCGACCTGGAGCAGAGCTGCTAGATCCATAAGCTGGTAGGAAATTTTAAGTGGTAATTTTGATAAATTCAGATTGAGTGTGGACTGTCTTGAGGGTGAGAGAACCCTGGGGGCTAGTGCATATTAGCTTGAAAATCTTATGGGGTACACCACAATTTTGTAGATTTTCCCTTTAGGAATCATGCCAGTTTCTCACTGTAAAGAGTCAAGATATCTTCTAGTATCTCTGGCAGGAGTAGAGGAGATGGTGAAACCCTATCTCTACTAAAAATACAAAAAAATAGCCAGGTATGGTGGTGCACACCTGTAATTCCAGCAACTTGGGAGGCTGAGGCACAAGAATCACTTGAACCTTGGAGGCAGAGGTTGCAGTGAGCAGAGATGGCGCCGCTGCATTCCAGCCTGGGCAACAGAGCAAGACTCTCTCTTTAAAATATACAGGTCATAATATAATGCAGAAAAGTGTATGTGTTCATACCTGTACCCTTTTTAATAAAACCAACTTCATTAGCAATTGGTATAATTCATTTCCTGATAATAGAAACTGGCTTGTGATGCTTGAACTAATTTCAGCATCAGCAAGGATATTTGGGAGTGAAAGCAGTGGTTCTGCTTAGTATTCCTGAATGACAGTAATGTCAAAGTGCTCTCATATCCCAAAAGGCTCATTTTCTTTTTGATCATGAGTGCTTTTGATCCTGAGTTCGGTCTAAGTGCAACCATCTCAAGTCTATTTTCCTGCAAGTTCTATTGAAGCAGAATGTAGTCCATGAGATGTTATACCTAATTCACCTTGTGAAAGTTTAGACTAGAGGTTTCAATCTCTTGTTCCATCCCTTCATATATATATATATATATATTTTTTTTTTTTTTTTTTTTTTTTTTTTTTCATGTTGCTCTGCAATGCCTTCAGTTATCAGCAGAGTATATTCCCTGCCCTATTGGTCATGTGATTTGCTTGGCCATGCATTTTGCTTGGCCAGTGGAATGTGGATAAAAGCATAGTATGTTGAATTTTAGTTGAGATATCAGTAGACATCAATTGTTTGTACTCACCTTCTTTGCTTCTCTGATTACCGCAAACATTGCGTGCTCTAGATGGCTGCTATGCCATCAGTCTGGGTTTGAGGATGTGAGACAAATAGAGTAAACCTGGACCCACCAAAGCCTGGAGTCCAGCCTGTCCCAACTGAGATCAGTCTAGATTATTGGAACTTCAGATAACCTGCAGAATTCATGGCCTGAAAAATAGATGTTAGTTTATGCCATTGAGATATTGATATTTTTACATAGAAATAACGAATATACACCTTTTGGTTCTTAAATCCAAACCTATAAAAGTAATAATGAAATGTTTTATATATGCATATTATTTTTAACCCAAAGAGGGACAAATAATTTATGCTTTGTAATGCTTTGATTATTCTCATTATGTACTCACTGTTCTCACTACACTCACTATAAAAGATGTCTCTGTTATACGAAAGTGACAGAGTATTTAATGTGGCTGGTTTAGCCTATGCCTAATCCACTGAATCTGTGAAAAGCAGTGAAACTAGTAAAACTGGCTATTTAACTAGTTAGGTGTTGGACTGAATACATTCAGTCAAAATGTGAGGTGATCTTACCTGAATAGAAAGAATCATATTCCCAACTAATAGTTTATTACTCTTTTTCATGTTAAGTCTTTGGTTAAAAATGGACACACTTAATTGGGTATTTTAGTATTTCCCTATAGACAGATGATTGTATTACTCAGATATTTTATTTATTCATCCACTATCTTTCACTTTTTTATAAGAACTATTTTTCTTAATGCTTTTCTATGCAGAAACTTTTTCTCTTTTATTTTCTTACTGTATTCCCCATACTGAGGTTCCTTATTCTCTATTCTTTAATATCTTGTTTCAACTTACATTTTTTTGCATGATTGCAGTGTGTCATATATTTTTGCTTCTAATCCTGATTATTTTATTTTATTTACAGCTGTCTGGGAATTGCAGGAATAGTCTTTTCAAACTTTTCTCAGTTCTTGGTTCCCAGCATGTGCTCAATAAATGTTGATTGAATGAGTGCTGATGATCTAACCAAGAAACCATCATCTTGTCTAAGCTCTTTTTTTTTTCTCAAAATTGCTTATGACTGAAAACAAAAGTCAACAGCAGAGAAGCTGTTTCCTAAAGTTTGTGTGTGATTCAGCAGGCTTGAGGTTCATCTGGGCTCATCCCAGGACATCCAAGTCTTAACAGCTGACACTCAGCTCAGGCAGGATTGGCTGGCTCTGTCAATGACCACTGGTACCTTTTCTCCGGAATTAAACTCCTCAGATTGTCAAAACCCTAACGTGAATGACATTTTACTTGGTGATTGTTAGTTCAGCAGAGAATTCCAACACTGTCATATCATCTAATTTTACTATTGACTTATATTTTTAACCAGTAATTATAATTTCTAACAAGCAGAGGACTTCTTCATTTCTAAGAATCCTTGTAAACTCAGTGACTGCGTATCCTTATTAGATCAGGTGTTTGGAATGAAACTAAATATCTCAGGTAATATTTACTAAGTGAAGCTGCTGATAAAAAGTTAAACTATTATAAAAATAAATCTATATAAACAAGTTATCTATACTAGTAAAACTGGCTATTTAACTAGTTAGGTGTTGGACTAAATACATTCAGTCAAAATGTGAGGTGATCTTACCTGAAGAGGAAGAATAATATTCTTAACTAATAGTTTATTACTCCTTTTCATAGTAAGCCTTTGGTTAAAAATGGACATGTATAAAAATAAAATAAAAAACATTCATTCTTAGCATCCTGACCAATGCTCATAATAGTGAAAATATGAATTTAGACAAAAATATTTAGTTTACATCAAAGCAATTGTTTTGTCATATTAATACAGGTACTTAAAATAAGAACCTCTTTTAATCACAAAACTCTAAAATAATATTGTCTACGCAGATTGTTGAGGCAGTGTTTTGTTTTATTCTTAATAATTTGCAATCAAAATTAGGAAAAAAAATGTTCTTAGGCCTAACCATCTATGGTAAATAGTCCTTTTAATCATCACATATCCATTAAATGTTTAGGACTTGACCTTTGTGGAATCATAGTGAACCAAAAGCTCTTTGGTATATTCATTGAATGACTCCCAGGGAGAGCCTGAGGAGCTTAAATGCCAGTTTATCTTGTGAAATATCAGACTTGAAAGCGAGGCTCGCACACCTGCCATGAGGCATTAGCAGGAGCAACAGAATCAGCAGCCCAGAGTAATGTAAAAACAGAGGCTCATTCAAACCTCTATTCCACCTAAAATAGTATTGAATTTCATCTCTCCCTGATGCTTTGGGGGCTTTATTCTTTATTCAGGGCTTACTTGTCCTGCACACTGAACCAGCAATTCTTTCTGTCTACATCAATATCTTAATTCTTCCTCCTCTTAATTAAATCAATGGCAAGTAGGTGATTCTTTTCATTTATCATAGTTATTCCTCAGACCTTTAAGATGGGATAGACTATGTGAGGACATAAAGAATAAAAATGTGGCAAGAATTAGGTAACAGAAAGATAAAAACACTAAAAATAGAATTAATTTACTTATTCATAGTTCATCTATTCAACAAATACTTTTTGAGTACTTAGTATATATAGACATTGTTCTAGGCTCCAAAGATATGGTAACAAACAGTATGTTTAAAAATGAACGGGGAAACAAGGGAGATAAAGTAAGATATAAGAACAGAGATAAGAGGTAATGGTAAAAAATATACTTTTATATCTTTATTTCTGTCTAATAACTCTGTTTTCCTTTCATTACTTATCTTTGCCACATATTTTTACCTCTCTTTTTTAAATCATGAGGTCCATATGTTCCCAGGAAATATCACTGTGCAGAGTGATTGCTTTATATTTCAGTAGTTGAGCTCAGAAGGCAAATGTTGTTTTGAAATTAATTCAAGTTTCAATGTGATTCACTTAAATATATTTAACATTTGAAATCAGACTGATTTCATCATTGGATTAACTCATCAGACACTGAAAAATAACTTATTGTTGGATTACTTTCCTAATGCTTAATGGAAACTGTTATGAGATTTTTTTAGTTAATGGTCTCATGGGGATAGTTTTCTGTGATGTCACGTATGGAAGAATTGGCTCATGCCCTACTGTACAGAATAAGCGCCTATTAAAGAAAAAGTTACAGAATCCCTGAAGTTGAGAATAAAGACGACTGGGGAATATACTTTCTTGTATAATTTATGCTAATTTAACAACCCAGAAGTCTCTGATTAACACAGCAGGAGCATGCTTATTTTAATACTTCTTATTCAAAAAACTAGTAATCATTTGATACATGCTCAGCTATAATGAAATGTTCTAAAGGACTTCCTAAAGCTTCTCAAGAGAGAAACTGATTTTTTAAACCTCCAAAGTAAAATTGTGCAGGTTTGGAGAAATGCTATATAAAGAATGCTAATGGTTGTTTTGTTGCCGTTGTTTTAGGAGTCATCAATACTTTGTGTGATAGACTCCAGGGTGGTTTCCAATATTCTCCTCCCCTTCCTTTCTATAATCCCCTCTCCTTGAGTACAGACAGAGCTTGTGATTTATTTCTAGCCGATAGAATATGGCAAAAGTGATGGAATGCCATTCCTTTGATTAGGTTATATTATATAAGTCTTAGAAGACTGGACACTCTCTCCTGCTAGCCTTGAAGAAGCAAGCTGTTGCAGTATGAACAGCCTAAGAACAGGGACATGTAGCAGGGACCTAAGGGTGGCTTTGAGGAGCTGAAGATATTTCAGCCATACTGCCACAAGGAAATAAATTATACCAACACCCACATTTAATCTGTTGCAATGCATTGTTTTGTTTAAAATATATTAAGCAAGATTTTCTTTCACATATAGTTGAAAAAGGTAGGATTATTTTCAAAACCTTTTCTTGATACCACCATTTGGAACTGCTAGGTTCTTAAAAGTTAGTTGCAACATGCAATCAGAAACCATATGAATGAATTTTGTACTCTGTGACATTAAAATCTTTTGGCCCTTATTGATTTTTTTTTTTAGATGGGGTATCTCACTCTATTGCTCAGGCTGGAGTGGAGTGGTGCAATGATGTGATCATACCTTACTGCATCCTTGAACTCCTGGCTTTAATCCTCCCACCTCAGCCTCCCAAGTAGCTAGGGCTATAGATGTGAACCACCATGCCTGACTCAATTTTTTTATTTTTTATATTTTTTTAACATCATGGATTGGTCATTTGGAAAACATTGGTTTACTGAGTGATGCAAGTATTCTGAATGTCAACATATTTGATTTTATAATGTGAAAAAAGTCACATTTGTTAATATCACCACTGATCTCATCAGAAGATACATTTTGTGGGAAGTTATCATATGGTAGATATAAATTTTTCAAAATTTTGCTTTTTGTTGGAAAGCTTACATTTTTGGCAACAAACACAAGGTGTCTTCCTTGAAGTCACAGGCTCACTTCAATTATTTCCAAGAAAATGTCTGTCAAATGCTTAAGATGCACAGAAAATACAGAAGTCAATATGCTTTTCTTATTTTTGGTTCTTAGTAATAATATTTCTCTTTAACATCAGCAAGAAGATCAATTAATAGTCAAATTGAAGTTTTGGATTAACTGTTTATTACATAGATTTCACTCTGCCTTCTCTACAAATGTCATTTATAAAATAGCATGCTGAGATATTAATTTATTGGTAGAATTTTTTCTTCATATGTGACATTTATTTTTTGATCTGTAGTACTTCTTTTGCAGTGGAAAATATTTTTTTCCTCCTTTAGAAAAACAAATAGTCATGGTTATTGACCAAAGCTAATATTTCATTTACTTTAAAAATATTTACTTAAAATCCATTTTTGTTTCATATTATATTAGAAAGATTTTTTTAAATGAGTTATTTGCATCTAAAATTTCAGTTCATGTCTTAAGCTCTGTAAGCTTAATGAGCTGTGTGTGGGCCACCATTCTCTCTGCGCTTATGTGGTAATTTCCTGATTAATACTAATTAATGACATGTCACTGTTCATTTAAAATGAATGATGAAAATGATTATTCAACCCTGATATTGAAATCACTCAGCAACTTGGCACCAGATCTCTGTGTCAGGAGGCAGTGCCAGGCTCACGAGGACTTCGTGTTATTTCCACTTGCTGCTACAGTAAACTGGAATTAAATGATGTTTGTTTTTAGGTAGACTAGGCCTCAAAAGGCATGATGGATGATTTAGCTTCCTTTCATAGCTTCTGTTTGATTTATTTATAAACGGCTTTAGGTGGTAAATTAGGTAAACTGCGTAGCCTCAGAACAGCTAAGGAGGACTTGCTTAACAAAGAGTTCAGAAATACAGACCTGTCTTGAACATTATTTTCTCCCATCTTTACCATTTCGTTCCATTTTCATACTTTCAGCCATTCTGTTTACTCAAGGTCAGGGTTTTTAGAGGAGAGTCTTCACTACTCAGAGTTCTTGATGTTGCTTCTCCTCATAGTTACTATTTTGGTAACAATTGGGGTAATTATGCAGATAAATGATCTGCCAATTTAGAAAATTTTGTTTGGTGTGTGTGTGTATCCATATATTTTGTGTATGTATGTATGTGTGTGTGTGTGTTTTTGTATGTATCCACATATTGTATGTGTGTATGTATGTATGTTGCAAATTTCTGGGAAACAGTAAATACATATCGTTTGGGTCAAAGAACAACAGCTTTACCAAATTTAACTGTTTACACATAAAAACTACTATTTTATATTAAAACTGCTAATAATAGATGCATATCAGCTAGGTAAATGAAAAAGTAATCAAAGGTATAATTTGTTGGAATCCCAATAAATATCACTAGCAAAGCCTATCTCAAAAAACAAGCTGGTTTTATTCATAATATTTCTGGCAAGGTAGAATGCTGTTAAGCACAAAGTTTTAATAATACCTATAAAAGGAAAGTTGCCGAATTATTTGTATAAATCTGGCACCAGGGTTAAGGTTAGAAATTTGGTGGTTTTTTGAGGTAGACTTCACAAGCAAGGAAACTGCTAGAGAGATAAGCTAAAATAGCCAGATGGGATTACTTTTGATTGTCTGGGGGCCTTCAAGTTAACACTTCACTGCATTTTGTATTTTCTTATTTTCAGAACTATGAAAATGGGGTGGTTTATTTAATTTTGAAGTCGGAGTAGATTTTCATTTGTTAGATTTTCAAGTTGAGATTTTATTTCTCATCTTCTCTTTAGTCATCCTTTAGCCAGAACTGCAAGTTTGACCATCTACCAAGGTGCTCAGTCCAGATCTAAACTGTGGTTGACGTTTGTCACATTCATTGACATTTGGACTTCAATATAAGCTAGCTCTTGCTTCTGTTGAGTTATTATTGTATTATCTGGAGACAGAGTGGAATTTAGGATAATGGAGACCACCATTTCAGAATTGGAACAGAGACTGTCTTCGTTCGTTTATGCTGCTATAAAGAAATACTTGAGGCTGGGTAATTTATAAAGGAAGGAAGTTGATTTGTCTCAGCCCCTGTAGGCTGTCCAAGAAGCATAATACCAATATCTGCTTCTGATGAGGGCCTCAAGGAACTTCTCCTCATGGTAGAAGGTGAAGGGGAACTAGCATGTACAGATCTCATGGTGAGAGAGGAGCTGAAAGAGTAGGGAAAAGGTGCCAGGCTCTTTTCAACAACTAGTGCTCTCAAGAACTAAGAGTGAGAACTCACTCACTCCCTTGGAAGCCATTCATGAGGGATCCACCCCCATGATCCAAACACCTCTCACCAGGCCCATCTCCAACACTAGGAATCAAATTTCAACAAGAGACTCAGCAGTGCCAAACAAAACATGTCTAAATCATAGCAGAGAACAATACTAAAAAAAGGATTGTGATGAGATTTTGTAGTTGATGCTAGGTCAGGAGCCAACTGTGCCAAGTTAAACCAAGAGCACAAATTTCAACTCTAATTTCAAAATTCAGCAGAACTAGATAGAGTGGTATTAGCCAAATTTCCTAATTTTCTAATTTTTTTTCCTCAAATAGTTTTGGTTACCTTTAAGACCCCAGAAAGACTTGTAGGGATAATGGCACAAGATTTTCCCCTGATATGTCATGTGCTCCAACTTGAGAGGACAATATTACATCTAGGGCTGCTGTGCTTTGGACCACAATCTTGTGAACTTCTTGAGTGAGAAGATAATATGTTTTAATGATATTGCCTATATCTCCTGCCAATCTCTGAACCATAGTAAGTAGGATATTAGGATGGTCCCTGTTTTTTCATGTGTGTCCTGTTGGAAAGCTTGAGAAAGAGAGGGTTAAGAACAAAAAAATAGATATCCAGAATTCCACAATTTCACATCAATGAATAAGACTTGGGTCTCAATCAAAGCCCAGACATTCTTCTTGATTTAACTTAGCTGAGGATCTCTCTCTCTCTCTCTCTCTTTTTCAAGAAAGTGAATTGATAGGCCAATATGGACCAAGAGTGATATCAGGGATTACCTCAAAAGCAGGTGCCTGTTTCCAACATTGAAGAGAGAGGCAGCAAGTCTCTCTTCAATTTGTACTTTGTAGCAAATAAGCTTTTCGGATGAAAATACACTACTAGGCATTGGTGACCACCTGATGATCAATTTTTAGCCAAAATATTCCCATAAGATTGTTTGTGTTATATGGTTACAATGTCACTCTGCAAGAGTGGTCTCGCACCAGACAGAGGAATTAAAGAGCAAAAAGTGGATCTATACTAAAAGAGCATGAATTAGGTAGGGCCTGAGTAGTATGTTTCTTTGGAAGGTTTATAAAAATGAGGCAGTTTGACTTGCGTAGAATCCATTTCTTAGTTCTTCACCAAGTTTTAGTTCTGTGAATGTTTAGTTATGAAGTCTAGCTCCTATGAAAAGCCCCAGGTTTGTTTTATGGAGACAGAATCTGCCAATATTACGTATCATGTGATAAAAATCTTTTGACTTTGTCTAGTCTAGGGTTATGTTTGCCATTTTGTGTTTGAATACAAATACTCATGAAATTAACTGATTTTCAACTGGTATGAAAGGAAGCTGGATGGCATCCAAAGAAAATTAGAAACAATTTGACTTTTGATTTGATTGCATGTTTTAGCCAAATAATGAATACATCATAGCCAGGAATTAGATGAGGAGTGAGAAGAACAATAAATAGGAATAGGGACATTAGTGGAGCAATAGTAAAGGGGCTACCAGTATCTCAGCTATCCAAAACCTTAAACCCACAGAGAGAAAAGAAGATAGCTAGGAAAATAAAGAATAACTCTATGCAGATTAAAGAAGCATTATTATTTGTGTTACACAGATTTTTAGTAGAGACTATGGGCATCAAGAATCATCTGCTCGAGCCAAAATTCCTGGTGGAAGGTGTCTGCTTTATGGCATCAACTACTTCTGAGAAATATCTAGGTATCCTCATCTGGAGGTAACCCAAGAGTTTAGATTGGCATATGGAATTGAACATGTTAAATTGTAGACCATGGACCCAAGTGTCAACACACTGAAGTCTGATTACTGTATGTATACTTAACAGTACCCAATAAAATTGTTTCCAACAAGGTTCAAGGGCAGCCTTTCTTTGTTAACTTTTTCAAAACACCAAAAATTCAGGTTGAAGATTTTGTAATGGCTGAACACAGGGATATTGTGGAGAGATAGTTTTAATTCTTGATGATGAGACAGTATCATGAATTAGCCTTTTATAATATTTAACTAAGCTTAAAGAAGATTCAGGGCTAAAATAGGTGTGTAGATATCCTCAGATGATTCAGTTTTTTCAGTATTATGTTGATTATGAGTCAGAAACAAACCACAACTTTACTCACCATGTTATTTTTTCATGGTAACCAACTTTTGTCTTTCACAATGGTAACTTTTCCTGAATAATTTTTGTGAATGTCCATTTGAGGCTATCAGTGCCAATAATCAAATATTTGGCCTCACCAAATTTATCTTGGGTTTTCCAACCAGATAATTCATATTATTTTTCTCAGAATTTTAGGCTGAATTATCAGCTTTTATGATAGACTCTTTGGAAAAATACATAGATTTATCCCTTAATCGTTGAATGGTCCTTATGGGGGGACCTATGTCAAGGGAGCTTTTTTTTTTTTGTAAATAATAATGATTAGCTAGGGCATTTTCAGTAGCTTCTAGAGCTTTGGTGTCTGATACGGTAGGCATTATCCATATGTGGCTATTGAACACTTGAATTTTGGCTAATCCAAATGGGGATGTACTGTAAGTGTGAAGCAGTAAACTTTGAATGCTTAATAGAAAAGAATGTGAAGTATCTCATTAACATTGTTATATTAGTTATAATACATTTTAAGATAATATTTTGAACATATGTGTTTAAATAAAATATATTATTCAAATTAATTGCATATTTAAATTTCTATGTGGCAACTAGGAAATTCAAAAATACATATATGGCCAATATTTGTGGCCTGTTATGTTTCTCCCAATTAACCATGTTACAGAATTTATGTTATATACTGTGAGCTTCAATTTAAATTATATCTAACTGCTTTGACAATTGAAGGATTTTAATAATTTGTGTGTTTTCTGCCTACTTTTACTGGGGGCATCAGACATGAGGAAATTTCCTTTTTCCACATCATGCCAAAATCATGTATGACCCTAAAAGGATATCTGCTGTTGGTACAGATATTGGTTCTTTGGCAATTTAGAAAATTGTGACTTTCTCTAGGAATTTTGGCTAAATAGCTGGGAAGGGATTGAATTCTAGAAGTTATACAGAGATGGGTCTTGCATATCCAGCCTGGTATTTTCTTTGATCATTCCTTAAGTAAATGCCATCTATAAAACTGTTAGGTGGGGAATTTGTGTTATTGTGTCTGTGAACATTGGTGCACAAATCTTTGAGGTAAATGTGTTTTTACGTCTTTTGGGGAAATACCTAGAATGAGGTTGCTGGGATATATGGTAAATGCAAGTTTATGGTTTTTTTTTTTTGGTATAGATTTAAGGGGTATAAATGCAGTTTTGTTTACATGGATATATTGTGTAGTGGTGAAGTCTGAGCTTTTAGTATAGCCATCAATCAAATAATGTACATTGTACCCATTAAGTAATTTCTCATCCTTCACCCCCTCCTATCCTCCCACCCTTCTGAGCCTCCAGTGTCTATTATTCCACACTCTATGTCCTGTGTGCATGTTATTTAGCTTCCACTTATGAGTGAGAATATGTGGTATTTGACTTTCTGTTTCTCTTCCCATAAGATAATGGTCTCCAGTTCCATCCATGCTGCGCTGCAAAATACATGATTTTATTTTCTTGTGGTTGAATAGTATTTCACTGAAATAGTATACCGTTGTATACACACAGACACACACACACACACACACACACACACTACATTTTCTTTATCCAATCATCTGTTGGTAGACAGTTGACTGATTCCTTATCTTTGCTATTGTGAATAGTGTTGTGATAAACATATCTGTGAAGGTGTCTTTTTTAACATAATAATTTCTTTTCTTTTGGGTAGATATCCAGTAGTGGGATTGCTGGATCAAAGAATACTTCTATTTGCAGTTCTTTGAGAAACCTCCATACTGTTTTCCGTAGAGGTTGTACTAATTTACATTCCCACCAACATTGTATAAGCGTTCCTTTTTCTCTGTATCCACACCAACATCTGTTATTTTTTGACATTTAATAATAGCTATTCTGACTGGTATAAGATGATATCTCATTGTGGTTTTAATTTGCATTTCTCTGATGATTAGTGATGTTAAGCATTTTTTCATATGCTTGTTGGCCATTTGTATAAAATTGCCAAACTATTTCCCAGAACAACTGTGTTACTATGTAGTATCACTGGCAGTACAGAAGAGTGCCAGTTGCTCCACTTCCCTGCCAAATTTGATGTTTTCTTTTACAATTTTGTTTTAATTCTAGTGGGTATATAGTAGTATCGCATTGTGGCTTTAGTTTGCATTTTCTAAAGGCCTATCATGGCAAATATCTTATATGTTCCTAATTGGCATTTATATTTCATTTTATAAAGTGGCTGTTTAGTTCTTTGTTCATTTTTGTTGGGTTGTAAGAGCTTTTTAAAATCTATATTCTATATGAGCTTTTAAAAATCTATATTCTAGATTAAGTTTTTAAAGCAGGTATATCTTTTACAAATATTTTATATTAGTCTATGACTAGTCTTTTCGTTTCCTTAACAGTGTCTTTCAAAGAACATAAATGTTTAGCTTTGATAAAGTACAAATTATTTTTTTCATTTACTTGTTTTATTTGTATCCCACTTAAGAAACGTTTTTCTACCCTATGACTGAGAATTTCTACTGCATTTACTTTGAGACATTTTATAGCTTTGACTTTTACATGTAGGTATAGATTAATTTTGAGTTAATTTTCATAGACGAGGAAAAGTTCAAGGTTCATTTCACCCCTGTATATACCCAGTTGTTTCATCACCATTTGTTAAAAAAATTTTTTTCTCCCCACTGAAATAGCTTGATAAATTTATTGGAAAAAATCTGTTGACCACATATAGGTTGGTTTATTTCATGTTCTGTTTGGTTCCTTTACTCTATATGTCTATCCTTGTGCCAATATTACAATGACTTGATTGCTGCACCTTTATAGTAAGTCTTGAAATTAAGTAGTGTTCTCAAACTTTAACAAATTTTATAATGTTATTTTGGCTTTTCTAGGTCCTTTGAATTTTTATGTAAAGAAATCAGTCAATCTAAAAACACTGTTAGTATTTTATATAGTGTTTGAGTTGCATACATAGACCAATTTGGGGAGAAATTCCATCATAATAATATTGAGCCTTCCAATCCTTGAATGTGGTAGAGTTGTCCATTTATTTAGCCTTCTTTAATTTCTCTCTGCATTATTTTATTGTTCTCATTGTGTAAGGTCTAGAACATATATTATTAAATTCATCTCACAGTATTGTTTGTTTTTAAAGATATTTTAAATGCAATAGTTTATATCTCATTTCCAAGTGATTCTTAACATATAGAAGCACAATGGTTGTTTGATATTTATTTTTCATACTGCAAAATAGATAAACTCATTTGTTAGTTCTAATAGAATATTTTTTTGTAAATTGCTTAAAGTTTTCTACATAAATGAATTTACCATTGGCAAATAAAAAGTTTTCTCTCCTCTTTCTAATCTCTATGGTTTTAAAAATTAATTTTATTGCCTTCTTTGGCATCTACCTTAAGGGAATCAGTCATTTAGGCAAAATTTACACATTATCAGTATGGAATTTTTCATGGATTATCTGGTAGTATTAGCCCATCAGTATTCTTGTAAAAGCCAACTCTTCAATTTTGTTTTGAAGCTTGTATAGCTTGGGTATAGAGATGACTAATTCAACAATAATTTGTTTATCGGTAGGAGAATTTTCTGGGTCTTCTGAAAAAAGTCTCTTGTTTACAGCTCCCTTTATAGAGTAAGTTTCTGTTGATGAAATTGGCACAAGTATTATTTGGTTTTCTCTTCTTTATGTTTAGAAAACTCTTTGAAAATGGCATGAAGTTCAGCCTGAAAGCAATATTTAGTTTCTTGAAGGAACTTCTTGAGGAAAAGGACATTCTTGTAGAGTATCCTTAAAGACAAAAATTCTTGTAGAGGCTTAAGGAGTGATAGAAGGAGGAGGTAGAAAAAGTGAAAGAGAAGATCAGAGATTGAAATGAGTTTCTCTTTAACCTTTGCAAAGTGACCTTTAAGGATGCTAATTTGAACTCTCTTTGAAGAGTATCTACATATCAATTTAAAAATGATTATTGGATGTTTTGATTCTTATTATCTTGTTAACCTGAAAGGTAATACACTGTTAGACATATCAAATGTTCCACAGAATGGCTTCTGTATTTTCAAATGGTCCTTGGTAAAAAAAATTATGCCATTTAGAGAGATAGGTGCATGATGAGAGCTTAAGTGGATATAAGAATTTGTAGGACTGCTAGGAGGTGGTTTATATTAACTATTATACAAACCCACGAACAACATAAATATGTTTGGTTGAAAGTGTCTAGTTATAATATTCCATGCCCTAAGTCCCCCATCTCTTCCTGATCGTCCCTGATCGTCAGATCATCTCTACAACAACTGAACAATTGATGGTCCCCCACAGGCAGAATATATACGGAAGCAATCTACGTAAGAGTAAACTTTTCAAATACAAGATAAAAGGTAGGTGGTGCTTACATAGTTTTGAAGGAGGACCCAAGGCAGTTTGTTGTAGAAAGGATGATTTTCTAATGAGAATTTTAACTTATTAGTCATTAGGGGAGATTTGGAGAATAGATTAAGTAGGGAGTATCTCTGTCTTCTATCCTATGAGTTTTCTTATGTAAATATACAACAGGAGATTACATTCTTTAGAAATAAAAAAAAAATTAAGAGGCAAAAGTGATAGTTGGCAGCTTTCACCAAAGAAAATAAGTAGTTAACTTTGGTTAGAAATAAAAATATTCCCAAAGGACAAATTCCTAAGATGCAAGATGAACCCAGCAGGGGGCTTACTGCATAAAGATCAGAGCTTATCTCTTGCTGGAAAGTTATTTACCACAGCAGCCTAGAACAGACTCCTGGCAGGAGTGGGTCAAGGGGTATTGGAAGTGCCAGACAGTCTCAAGTCAGAGGTCTTGGGCCACATAAGAAGGGAGTTTTGAATAGGACCCAGTGGAGCCTCATAAAATTGTACGGGTCCCCACAAAGATCAACAGAAAAACCATTATCAAAACCAAGTTGATTTTTATTAATCATCTTGTCCAGAAATAAATACAAGGTTTGGAAAGAGCAGTTACAAAGGAGGTTTTACGGAATTGAGACTGGCACATGGGAGACTTGCGTTTGAGTTTCTAAGGCAGGGAATGAAAAGGGACTGGATAAAATGGGCAAACTGAAGTCACTTTTCATCATCTGGAGTCTACAGAGCAGGTCTTTTAAGCAAAATGTCTACTGAAACTTTTATGTTCTTATCTTCCCAGAACAGTTGCAGCAATGGGATTGATTCATGCTTGCTTTGCAGTTTTGATAAATTCCCATTTCTTAGGTTCTTTAGTTCAATTTTTATTACACAAATTGAATTGTAAGTTTACCTCATATTGCCTAGACAGCTATAAGTATCTCTTCACACCATTTGCAGTCACTAAGTTCTTTTCAATTCACATTAATTAAGATATAAAATTTAACAGAGTCAAAATGCTTTCAATATAGATTATAACCAAACACCTTTGTATAACCCCTGGAAGGTAAATTCACATGAATCTGTTTAGCATGTCAGGGGAACTAAAGGATGAAAATAGTGACTAAAATCAACACATAAGAAACATGACACCTAATGTTGTGGCTATGTTGAAAGGCATTCTGATATGGTTTGGCTGTGTCCCCACCTAAATCTCATCTTGAATTATAATCCCCATATTCCCCACCAGTCTAAGGAAGTGGGAGGTGATTGGATCATGAGGGCCATTTCCTCATGCTGTTCTCATGATAATGAGTGAGTTCTCACAAGATCTGATGGTTTTATAAGGGGTTCTTCCCCCTTCACTCCTTGTATTTCTCTCTCTCCTGCTGCCATGTGAAAAGGTCCAAGCTTGCTTCCCTTTTGTCTTCCACCATGATTGTGAGTTTCCTGAGGCCTATCCAGCCGTGTGGAACTGTCAGTCAATTAAACCTCTTTCCTTTATAAATTACTCAGTCTCAGGTAGTATCTTTATAGCAGTGTGAAATACTGCTAATACACATCCTTAGGCCTTACCTCAAAATTCTGGGTAACATTTTGGTACCAGACACAAAGATTCTGGTTAGTATTTACACCATGAAACATTAGGAAAGGTATCCAAGAGAGATTTGGGGGCTTCCCTGTGTTGCTAATACGCTTCTTGAGAACTAGACTAGATTTGAATTAACAGGTCCAGGGGAGTCTGAATCCCAAAGCTGATTTTCTTGAAATTAGAAAATGAGTCCCATAAATTTGATGACACCAGTTTAGAAGCTTCCAACTCACACTAGACTCCTGAAGTGAAAGAAACAAATGAAAAAAAAACAACAACAAAAATGAAACAAAACAAAACAAAAAAACAACTAGTGCTGCTCAATTCATAGAACTGCTATTATAACTCTATATTTTTGGTAAATATCGTAATACGTTAAATTTGTATAGCTTGTTATAGTTTACCCAACTCATTTGGTCTTCAATTTTTGGTATGATGGAAAGTCTATTATTCTCTTTTTATATATGGCAAAATTGAGGCTCAGGAAGATGAAGTGAGTTGCTCAAAGTCACATGGCTAGCAGGTACTAGGTTTGGGATTCGAACTTATGCCTTTTGGTTGTAAATTCAACTCTTTTTATACTAAATTTTAGCAAAGGATATTGTGAAAATTTCTCCCTTGGTCATCACATATTTTAAGATCCATTTTCCATGGAAAGATGAACTTGAATTGGTATTAGCAACTTCCCCCCACCCCAGGTAATCTTCATATACTTCTTCCCCAAATCTTTTACCCTGAAGATAGAAACAATAACTTTGTCAATACCATTTTAGAGACAATGGTGCTGATATTAGCAATGTAATACATTTTTTAAAAAGTCATCAAATGGTGTCATACTTATATAATTTTGGTCTGTTCATAAAACAGACAGTTACCAGCAATTAAAAAAACACTGATGATTAGGCAACAATATTGATAAATCTCAGAGACATTAGGTCACCTAAGGCAGCCAGGCACAAAGTAGTACATTGGTAAGAACTGTATACATTCATTTTTATGAACTAAGACAAGTAAAACCATCTATGTTGGAAAAAAAGTCAGAAAACTGTCTCTTGTCGGGGGATTGAAAAGAAAATTTTCTTGGAGACAGAAATTATCTATATTTTGATAAAGGTGTAGATTATATGGGTGTTATATATGTATCAAAAATAAAATTTAGTTTTATACTGAAGATTTGTGTATTTGTGTATTTGTAAATATTTAACTTAGAAAAAGACTTGCTTAAATTAGTTTGCTTTACCCAGTGGTATGGATTAGTTAATAATTCTGAAAACAATTTTTCTACTTTTTGTATCACTAGGCTTAAGCAAATTTATAAATATATCAATGATAGTAGAAATTGTAAGTAGCAGTATGAACTCATCAATGTGTGTGTATGTGTGTGTGTTTATTTAATCAAACTTAATGCCCATACTTAAGTGTCTAGATATCATTTTTCACTTAAAGGAACCAGGGACCTTTGGAATAAATGCTGACTCCGGGACTGGTGCAGAGAAAGTGTAAAATGACCCTAGAATGCCTTGTTGTGCCAGAAATTCATGAAGTGTTTAAGAAATAATTGGAAAAATCTCAAAATTTAGCAGAAGTCAGCTTGATGGGGTGCTCACTGGTCAACAATGGGGCAAGTTTAGCATGAAAATAATGACAGAAACAAAATGTACATTAATAATAAAAAATTCTGGGAGTTCACACTGTTATAAATTAATCAATTTGTTAATTAATGGGGGAAAAAGAAAAGCTCTTTCTTGTAGAAGAATGCAGGCTAATAAATGTCCAAGGAATAATGGAGTTAGAATATTACAATGGCTTAAAATTCGTGAGTGGAAGTTTGATTAGGAATAGGTTATTAATAGAGTCTCAAAGTATCTCCCGAGACATTACTTATTAATTATAAAGTAAAAAATGGAAAATTTACAGTGGAGAAACCAGGCAAACATCAGGAACCCACTGACTGAAGTTGACATCAATGATTTGGAGACAGCCAACATCATGTATTGATGATACGGTATACTCAGAAGGACACAAAATCCTGACAAAATATATAACTTGAATTTCACTGGGAGGAAACACCAAGCAACCTAAACTGAGGGCTATTCTACCAAATCACTGCCACATCAACTTTTCAAAAAATTAAATTAAGAAGACAATGAAAAGTTAAGAAACTCTTCCAGACTAATGGAGACTTAAGAGTCATGACAATTAAATATAGTATGAGATCCTGAATGCATCCTGGACAGGTAAAATCCAATAGCTATAAAGGACATTATTTGGTCAGCTAGTAAAAACTGATAATGGACTGTGGGTTAAATAGTGGTGTTGAATCAATGTTATATTTTTCTCTTTTGCTAATTGGATTGTGGCTAAGAAAATGCTCTTATTATAAAATGCACACTGAATAATTTAGGAGTAAAGGGGCATTATGTCTCCAATTTACTCTCAAAAGCTCAGAAGAAATTATATGTCTATGTGTGTGTGCATACACATATGTGCCCTGGATGGGTGGGGAGAGGTGAGACAGAAAGAAAGGGGTAAGCAGAAGAAGGAGAAGGTGAGGAAGAGTGAAAAAGCAAATTGAGCAAAATGTAAAAAAAATTGTTGAATATTGGTACAAGGTATAAGGGGTTTCTTGTATTATCCTAAAACTTTCATGCAATTATATTAACATGCAATGATACACATATGCACACACGCACAAAATCTATCAAAGGTAATACAAGTGGATTCAGAAGTAAAGTTTAATATCTCTATTGCCAGGTATTTCTTCTCATCTTCTCTCTGTCCACAGATATCTTTCTTCTCTTTTTATTTTTGATTTTATCAGGTTAATCGATCATCCAATCTTTTCCTTAGTCAGTCTACCCCAAATACCTTGAATTCTTTGTCAAACTGAAATTATGCAATGTGGTTTTTCATATTTAAATGCTGCAGAAGATAACTCTGAAAGCAAGAAAGGATCAGGATAAAGAGCTGAGAATAAATGCACTTGCAGATAAACCATTCAATTCAGGTTAATATACATTGCACTATGCTTTTAAAGTTAGAAGGATAACTACAATGCACTTGTTTTCTTAAAGAAAGAATGTAGGAATACAACGATACTTTGTCTTCAAAAATATAGTTTAATAAATTAGGTAAAAATTTTCAACTGAAAGGAGATATTTCTAAATATACCTTATTTTCTTTTAATGAATAATTTTGTTATCCTTTTATAGTAAATTATGCTCTTTATTTTAAATGGTGAGCTTTCTTTACAAGTGCAAAGAAAGATTTTCAGGCTTCCATTTTCTCTGGAGAGTTAATCAGATAGAAAAATCTTGTTGCCTAAGGCTTTTCACATTCAGATGAACAAAAATGTAGTCTAAATGATAGATACAAATCTATCATTTTTGTGATCTGATAGCATATATTAAGTTTCTGGCTTTGGCAATAAAAATAATGCATAATAACTAACTAAGAATAGTAGGTCGGATACTCAAAATTTAAGAATTTTTTTTGAGTTTTTACTATCTATCTATCTACCATCTATCTATCTATCTATCTATCTATCTATCTATCTATCTATCTATCATCTATCTATCTATGTCAGTATGACCACCTATGGCCTTAATTTAGTAATAACAAATTGAAGCTAAGTGTTTTCTAACTAAAATAGGTGGGTCTGTTAGATGATGTGTCTATCTAAGGTTGACTCTTCCTGTAATTTCTAGGAACATAGAAATTATGAATAGGGATGACTGACTAGTTGTGTCTTTTTAATCAAGAGCTATTAGTTTTAAAAAATACTATATAAAAATTTTTCCAGATGAAAAAACATTAAATGACATAGACAAAATATTTTTAATATAGGTTAATAATAGTATTTTTACTAAAAATAGAGCTACTAACATAGTGCTTCAGCACAGTTTCAACCCCAGAAAGTCCAGTTTACATTTGAAAACATCATCATGTTATGAAAATATCAAGACTTGTAACTCTGACTTGAAATCAGTGCTAAGTTACAAGTTCTATGCTACTTATGCCATAGGATTTCATAGGATAATTGAATAGTTTTGGGATTTTTGTTTGTTTCTTTTTAGAAACTGTCTAGTCAAACACAATTATTTAAATCATAAAGTGACTGAATCAAAGTAAAGTAAAATATCTGTTCAAGGTCATATAGAAAATTCACTACCAGCAAGTTTATCCTAAAGTGTTTGAATCCAAGTCTTGATCTTTTAGAATTTTGGGGATAGCAGTTCACCTCACCAGGTTTGAGTAGAGTGTCATTAAGATAGTTCCAGGAAAACTGAGATTGAATTAAACTCCTGGGGTTTCCAAATGCTACCTCTTTGGAACATCTTATCAACTCTTTTGGCTGATATCAGCCTTGGCCCTGATATTTCTATATCAACCCCAACATTACACATAAACTCCAGATACATACTATCAGCTACTGATGGATATTCCTAACTGAATATTCCACAGATATCTAGCTCAAAAGCAGTGTGCCCCCATGTGCTTGGAAACTTAGTCTGTCTCATGTGCATTTCTTTTCTTTTTATTTTTTTTTGAGTTTTTACTAATTGTTGCTAGGGTTATTGTTGTCCAAGATTCATTGTTTTGCATGTGTGAAGAATACAGCTATTATTTATATTATATATAAACTCAATTTTTAAAAAGTTTATTTTTACTGAATGTTTCCCCAAACATTTAAATACTACTGATGTGACTAGTAAACTGCAAACCAATTTAAGTAGAGTTATCTTGAACATTTTAAGTATTAATTACAAAGCTAATTCTCCTAAACAGTTCAAAACAATAACATTTCCTAAATGTTCTAGACAAGTGAAGCCAGGTTAAATCACTATAATAATGATAATCTAATGTTGTAGTATATAATTGTTTGAAAATATAAATACAATGGCTTGAAATTTATTTTCCTTTTCTTCATAGATACTTCTCTGTCTTGCTATGGTCAAATTTTTACAAGACCCAGAAAAAAAGAATACATTTTTGCCACTTCAAAAGTTGCAATTCTGGGTTATTAAGCAATTGATACTTGCCCAAGAAATAGCAACTGCTTGTGATTGCCAAAATAAGCCTTTTTGAATTGAGTTTCTTTTCATAATCAAGTTCTTTTTGCTACATGTATAACATTTTCCATGTCCAGGACATTTATTGCAGCTTATTGTGTCCTTCTTTGCTGCTATGGTTATCAAGCCTCACCAAAGGACATCGTGTTCCTGTTTACTCTGTATTTCATGATGCCTCATAAGATCTGACTTTATTTGTAAGGTCACCCCGAGGTTTCAGCTGTCAAGAGATAAGAGATGGAATTTACAATGTCAGAGTTGACTACAAAGTCAACTTTAAAAATTATGTTAAAACAACAATAATTTTGGAAGACACAGCTGAACAGTCTTCTTACCTATTGTTGAAGATAACAAGAACTGATGAGTCTTTCTTCTTTTTGGTACATTTTCTATAGTTTTATTACCATTTGGTTAAATCACAATTTTCTATAGCTATCTTCATCATTTATGCAGATAGAGAATAATGTGTATCTATATGTTATCAACAGACACACTTAATAGAAGAAATAGAACAGGAGTATTATGTATATAAATAATTTCTATATATTAAAATATATTAACATTATAAAATTCAAATATAGTCTTAATTCAGCTAATGCACATACATTTTATAGAAAATTTTCCACTTTTGAATATTATCAATATTTGGCTTTTAAATGTTTTAAATTTAATTTTGTTTTTATTAGACTATACAACTTTCAAATACAAATAGCTAAATCTGTATTTATAAATTTGTATTTAATATATAACTTTCAAATACAAATAGCCAAATTACTAAAAATTCAAATAGACATTTTTTATTTCATAGATATTTTTCCATTTTGTCTTCCCAACATTTTAAGTGAATTTGGAATTTAAGATATATTAATTTATAATGATTATGTTGGAGAGGTCTCTCTCATTCTTTCAAAGTTCATTCCTTATCGCAATTTACATTTTAATGGATATAACTTGCTCTCTTTTCTCTCTGAGGATGTAAGTTATAGTTTCACCAAGAATTTTTTTTGTTTCTATTTTTGTTTTTGCCTCTTATCTGTACAGTTGTTATGCCATCAGGAATTAGCAATATGGTAGCCAACAATCCCCAAACCAAAGGGGTTTATACCAGCAGCTTTATTTCTTGCTCACTTTTACATGTTGCCTGCAAGTCAATGGTGGCTTCCCTCCCAGGTCTGTCATTCTGGGATCCAGGCTGCACGAGAGGCCCTTACGTGCTTTGTCATTCTCCTGGCAGAGGAAAAAGTGCCAAGGTGCAACTGCTTGATGGCTGTTACCTTGGGTGTGGCCTACCTCATTTATATACAGATTCCACTGGGGCAAAGCAAATCAGTTGTGTCAGGAAGTAAATACCTTCCATAGGGAGGTCACTAGAAATAATTTTATCAAGTGATTCATGTTTCTCTACTCTGCTCCTAATTAGAGTGAGGCCCTGTAAGAGCTTCCTGGAAGTTTTCTGTTTTGAGGAGAATATTGTCAACTGGTGTGCCTCACAGTGGATTGCTTCAAAGCAGATCTTGTCTTTTCAGTGGGGGAACCCCCAAATATTAGTCTGTATAAGTCTCTCTGCAGAAGATTTTCCTTCCATCTCGCCTGTGATGGTATGAATCCAGCTACCAGCATTGTGGGGTAAGTGCAGAGAACAGGAGTGGGTAGCAATGTTCAGTGTGCACATTGTTATTTACTCTGTCTGATTTCAGAATGTCATCCAATGCCACCCTCAGCTCTGCCTCAAAGCTTCAATTGAGATCATCTCTTCTTCAACTGCAGAGGGGGAACCTCCCATCTTCTGCTGGTGTCAGGTGGTAGTGGGTGGGAGGGCAATCTGGGAGTACAACTGCTCATTAAACAGGCCTTTAAATAATGGTTCTGTGTTTAGCCCTATTGTACATCCTGCACCTCAAACATTTTATGATGAAAATCAGTTTGCTTTCCATCCTTCGCCTCCCCCGTACCTTGTAGGCAGTTGCAGTTTGGCTTTCTCAAGTCAGTTCTGGTAAAGGTATTCTCTGGAACCAGCCACTTAGACTAGATTTTACAGTATATTGGTATAATGCTATACGTAACTCTTTATTTCAACTCTCCCCTTGTTTAAACTCATATGACACATATATTTCATTTATGATGAAGTACTAAGGAAGAGAAGCCCCTACTTTCTCATGAATTTGTAGGTGTTTATGTGAGGCCTTGTACTACAATACGTATGTTATTTTCTTCTTTCTTAATCTCTGTTTTCTTTCATTTTGATGACACTTTCGTGGATAAAATATGTAGTTATAACAATTATTGTCTCTTAAATATTTTATTCTTAAAATTGTAACTTTCTTAATATTTTGGAAATTAAAATTATTTTGTGCCCAGTGCAGCCCACATCTGGGCATGTTGGAAGTCATTAAAGTTGAATGCTACTGAGTTTCTCTAAGGGGGTTGGTGGTGCAGAGATGTTTACTA
Source organism: Homo sapiens (assembly GCF_000001405.40). Classification (NCBI taxonomy): domain Eukaryota; kingdom Metazoa; phylum Chordata; class Mammalia; order Primates; family Hominidae; genus Homo; species Homo sapiens. Next base: position 195,036,057 of record NC_000002.12, on the reverse strand, counting down.
AGGTGATACAAGAAGGACCACTGTGATAATGGAGAAGGAGAGATTTGTCTTCAGTATGGACCACAATCAGGTTTACATCTGCCATAGTTGGGTAGGATATAATTATTCCAACAATGAAATATCAAAAGAGAATCATGATTGCAACAGAGAAGCTACACAGGATCATGTGCTTATATTAGAGGGCACAGAACGATCCAATGCTTCATTCAAAAAACAAACAAACAAACAGGCAGCTCTCATTTTGTAAAGCATATTGGATGTAAGGAAAGCCTTACTGCAATCCATTGATAAAGTCTGTATGTGAGATGGGCTTTAGCAAATACAATGACTAAAGACTTCTGCAGATAGAAATGAGTCATAAAATAAGAAAACAACTATTCTTAGAGTAAATGATGTGTTATACGAACAGCAGTTTGTCTAACAGGGGGATTGTGTAGAATCTGGAAGAATAATAATCTTGGGGTGAATTATAACACTTGCTAGAGGCCCCCATTAGTTCCTTATTGTGAAGGAAGTAGATACGTATGTGTGTGTGCATGTGTACACACACACACATATATAAATACATATATTACAGGTTAATGTATGTCCATGGTGGTTGTGAATACTTCTATGTATTATTTTATGGTCAGTTATACACAATTCTTATTTAGAGTATCACTTCATTCTCAACAAATTCTTTTGCTGTCTTTCTAAATTCTAATTTAAAGCTACCTCCTTTAGACATTGTCAGTCTTGAATAATCTATGTTACTATCCGTATACAGATATTTTTCTGAATGAGCTATCTATTATAGCAGCAGAAAAGATATATTTCTGATACAAGTCAGGAGTGCCAGTCTAACTGCTAGTCCTGAAGCCCTCATCCTTGCCAAGACTCTGAAATTGGGGTCATTTAGTCCATACATGTCAACTCACCTAGTACTAACTTCATCTTCGAGAAATTCATCTCTCCTGTGGGGTTTATTGAAGCTATAACCCAAGAAATCAAGGAACGTGGATTCTACATTGATCTGAGAGTGATTTTTGTTGTTCTCCGGTAAGTTCTGATACATTTTACCAAAGCAGTGCAAAAATATAATGAAACTGATGTTTTGTCTGTTAATTGGCTCTTGAAATGCAGCCAACAGGTACTAGCATAAATTCTGAAAGTCCTAGGGTGATTACAATTTCTAATCAATAAAGTTTTATTTTGGGGGTGTCTGATGCTTTAGCACATAAAAGAACACACAACCAGTAGTACCTTTTCTGCTGAAACCCTAGCTGATAGCATGGAATTTTGCAGGCATCGACAAAGCAATTTCATAGACATTGTAAAATCGTTCAGGTAATAAATAATATTCAGAAGTGGCTTCGTAAGGGGTGAGGAGTAAGGATATAATAATGGCTACATGATTTGCTGATTGCTTTTTATCTGGCTACCTTAAGCTGTCTAATGCCGTGTGTCATTTTGGAATACAAATGCCACCATTCCGAAAAAACCACATATGGTTCAGAAACTTGTATCAGCTCATGAAAGTTCTTCAGCATCTTCTATTAACACTGGCTAGAGATGACATTTTCTGATTATTCTCTGAAAACAACTTGTCAAAAAGACATTCCAGGGGCTTATCTTTATCTACCTTTATTTCATCAAGTTTAAGTCTGGTTACTCTATGGTGGTCTCTTCTGCTCTATCCATGCTTATCATTCTGGCTTGTATGTTTGTGGGGTTCTGCCTCCAGGCCTTTTCTTGCATGTGCCTTTCCAATTTCAAAACAGACATTTTCCAGGAAGCTTTTCTAATTGGTCTCATCTGATCATTTCTGTGGCCAAATTTAGTCAGATACATAATCCTCTGTTCACTTGTGTTCTTGGATATGTCACTATATAATGATTCTTTAATTCTTTATTATTGATGTGGGTAACACATTTTAACTTATTTTAATATCCTTGGTACTTATATTGGTACTTGAATAATACTAATATGTAGAGAAAACTCTAGTGGTTGGACTAAAATAAGATGCAGTAAAAGAAAAAAGTAAAATAACATAAATGCACACCTAGAATTCCATTGTGAAGTTTAACATACAGACTTACGTGTGATTCTGAGGACTCATGGCTGCAAAATTTGTGATTTCAAGTTTGAGACTCTTGTATTGATCTAAAGTAAGATCACATTGATGGTGGACAAAAAATACCTTTTTTTCCCCTCAAACAAGAACATCTCATCTGTCTACCTTCTGGAAGACAGATAAAAGATTATAAAACTGAATAGAATCCTGTACATTGAGAACAATGAAAAATATGAGATGTTAATTTCAAAGGCTTAAGCTTTCATTCCTTCAACAGGAATGAAAACAGACACTTCCCTATTTGGTAATCATGTGCTTATGAGTAGACATTATTTTATATCCTCCTTCTAGCATAAGGTTCTTTGAGATTGTAGCTGACCATCAGTAACAGCTTAAAGGAAACAGAAATTCCATAGAGGAACACTTAGGGGAAAAATGGTTTTCTTTTTTAATCAAAGAATGAAGAAAGGGTAAAGCAGAATATCCAGTATGAATAAGCCATTTTCTACCTGCTGTACTTGAAGTTGTCCAAGAAAATATAACATTTGCTGGCAACTTCAAACATTGCTCTATAATATTTTGACTATAAAAATTTATATTAACTGCAGCTTATGATTATTGAGCACTTATATTTGCCATGTATGGCACTTTTTCTTTTTATAGACATCCTTTCTTTTTATCCACACAATATTTCTTTCAAGTGAAATTTCTGTTACTCCCATTGTAAAGATTGTTCAATAAATTGCCAAAATCACAAAGTTAAGAAACAGTAGAACTTTAAATCATTGCATAATATTGTCTCATAAATTTAGTAACATTTCAAGATATCACATTCATCTGTGAATCACAAGGAGTTGTAGGAAATTTTGAAGGACTGGATTTACAGAATAAACTCAAGTTCCTTTTTAATTAATTTCTATGCCACCTTAATGAATAGGTAGATTTCGCCTTAGAAATGGTATAAAGAGAATTATTCTAAACAGAATATTTGATATATATTTTTCTGAACTTTACTGATTCTATGAATAGCTTAAGTGAGTTATATTCTTATAAATGTTTTATCCATAAATGAGTGTGTAAATAAATATGTGTGTGTGCAGGTGAGTTTGTGTGTTTGGTTCAGAATTGCATTCAGCTTTGTAGTGGCTAAACAAGTTATTGTCCCCTTCCTACAATTTTAAAGCTAGAACAAAATAAAAAAGTAAATGTAATGGCTTAACAAATGATTCTTGCTGCAATTAAAAATTAAACTATATTCATTAATGAACAACATAGCCTAAAACGAATTGGATCACTGCATATCATTATGCATTACTGCTTTTTTTCTGAGACTATGCCTAGATTAAAACAAGTTATTAGAACCTTTGGAAGTGAATTGCTTAAAAAGTACATAGTGATTCAGCAGGATTGCCATCATCAGTGGGGGTTGTGCAGTTAAATCCCCGGTGACTACTTCTTTTTTTTCTGAGACGGAGTCTTGCTCTGTCGCCCAGGCTGGAGTGCAGTGGCGCCATCTTGGCTCACTGCAAGCTCCGCCTCCCGGGTTCATGCCATTCTCCTGCCTCAGCCTCCCGAGTAGTTGGGACTACAGGCGCCCGCCACCACACCCGGCTAATTTTTTGTATTTTTAGTAGAGACGGGGTTTCACCGTGTTAACCAGGATGGTCTCGATCTCCTGACCTCGTGATCCACCCGCCTCGGCCTCCCAAAGTGCTGGGATTACAGGCGTGAGCCCCTGGTGACTACTTTGAAATAAATATTTTGTCTTGGAAGGAATTTTGGACACAAGATTGTATATATGGGTTCTGGAAAGTCTACCTCGGTTTTCAAACCATCCTGCTTCCAACTCATCAGCTTATGTGACCTTGGCTAAGTTAGTACTTGCCTCTGAGGCCCAGTTTCCTCAGTTAAATGGAGAAAATGACAGTACATGCCTCATAAATGTGGTGTGAAATTTCATATTTTAAACTATTAGAATATGTAGAAAAGTGTCTACCATACTGCCAGTATCAGTAAGTGCTAGCTATCATCCTTATATAATAATTATTGTTCTCAATAGTATTACTATATCCTGAGGAAGGTATAACAGAAAAATATAATAGATATATTTCTAAGAGAAAATTCATAGTGGCCTTTGATATAAGCCTTTGTATTAACAATAATTGATCAATTAATGATTGTGGTTTCAGTTATCCATTATTTATTTACCGCAAGAACAGGAATACATGCATATACTATGTGCTAAGTACTGTGCAAAGCATTTACATAAGAAATCTAATAATTATGTCCATAACAACTCTAAGAGGAAATTATTATGTTTTTAAGAAAATTTCTCATGAAGAAGCAGAAACTCCAACTTAGAAAACTTTGGAAAATTTCCTAAAATCATAACTGCCAGGGAATGTAGAAAGCTGTACTTGAATTGAGGATTTTTGATTCCAAAGCCAAGCTTATAACCAGATGACAACTAGGAAGTTGTCATCTCTCTCTTTCAGAGGACACAGTTTCATAACAAATTTAATTGTTTCCCTTTTCTCCCTTAAGAATACAGATAAACCCAGATTGATTTTTCCAATAAATGTAATTATTCAATATTTGCAGTAAGAGAGAATGTGGTAGCATTTCTATCAAATGCATGTATATATTTTCCCCAATACTCTCTAGATTTTGAGTTTTCCCAAAAATATAATGCACAAGCGTTTATTGCAGAGGCCAACATAGCAGAAATAGATGATATCCTATTTCCTTTGTTGTATCAAATTTTCTTTTTATACATTTACATCTGGCAACTTAATGGGAGCAGACACATGAAAGTGTTTAAATTTTGTGTCTCCAGAAGTTTCAGAAATTTTTGTTTTCTTTTTCTATCTTGAAATTGAGTTTACCAGCTTCCCTGATTAATACTCATTTCTTGAAGTGATTGTTTTGCTTAATTGTAAATAATCTCTTTGCTTTGTTGTTTTCCTCTGTTCATTTTTAATGGTTTTGCTCAATCTACTTATTAGAGGTAAATCAGAAGAAAATTCAGTTGCATCTGCTGTCACCAAAAAGACTAGAATAATTTTTTTCTTTTCCTTCCTTCCTTCTTTCCTTCCTTCCTTCCTTCCTTTCTTTTTTTTTTTTTTTTTTTTTTGATGGAGTCTCACTCTTTGGCCAGGCTGGAGTGCAGTGGCGGGATCTCGGCTTGCTGCAGTGTCTGCCTCCCAGGTTTGAGCAATTCTCCTGCCTCAGCCTCCCAAGTAGCTGGGATTACAGGTGTGTGCCACCACACCCAGCTAATTTTTGCATTTTTAGTAGAGATGGGGTTTCACCATGTTGGCCAGGATGGTCTCGATCTCCTGACCTCGTGATCTGCCTGCCTCAGCCTCCCAAAGTGCTGAGATTACAGTTGTGAGCTGCAGCGCCTGGCCAGAATAATTTTTTTCTAATATCATTTTAATATAAAGATAAATTAGGAAATAAGAAAAGAATATCACAGATTTCCTTGGTTCCAACATTTCCTTTGCCAAGACAACTAACTGGAGTTACCATGACTCAGGATTGGCAGATGTGATGTGGACAATCCTGAGAAGAAAAGCAAACAAGCAAACATGTCCTGATTCTGCTGTATGGGTTATTTTAATTTTGTGTGCCGGGGGAGGGGAGTTCTTTCAATTTTTGTGAGTGTGTGTGTGTGTTTTTTTTTTTTTTCTTTCTTTCACTACTCAGTTAACAAAGCAGAAAGCTAGTGGACTTTTGTTGGCACCAAACAGAAACAAAACTGATAAAAAGAAACCTAATCATTTTAGAGTTTTGGCCTCTTCTGTTTATCTGAAATTCTTTACTTCAAAAACAATAAATCCTTCAATAACCTGACTGCAGAAAATACTTAATAGAAATTTTGATTTTCATCTTCTGATCTAGTTCATTTCACAGTAAGGTATGGGCTTAATATAGGAACTTTTTCTTTTGTTTATGACATTTTCACACCTACAGATATTTGCAGGCACATGGAGGGATTGCAAGCAGCTGATTGTTTCCGAGATTAGCTCACTACAGACACAGAGCAATGCCTGAAAATAACTTGTGTTTCAGAAGTGATATTCCAAAGGACAAGACGACTTTATAAATAAAAGCTCTGTAATGTTTTAATGTATTTTCATATATTAATTTGTTTGTAAAGTTCAGCTGATTACTCAATTAGGGTTTAAATGTAAAAATCTTTAATTTTAAGGAATCCATATCTGTCTTGGTTTAAGATGAGCCACAACAAATTAAGAGGCTTGGAGAAGAGTTTCTAATTTGAAACATATATACACCTGCACATTTAATAAAAAGTAAGTATTTTTCTCTGAAGAACAATAAAATTAACATATATTTGTGTTGCATTTCATCAGTGTGAAATTTGATGCAAGGTTCTGAGTTCTCAACAAGAACAGGGCACAATTCCTGTGCATGAAAATTTTATAGTCCTGTGAGATTTTTTCTAATTTACTTTATAAAAATAATGTCTAGAGGTCTAGAGAGGCTTACATTCTTAGACATATTCACAAAGTATATTTCTCTTAAATAAAATTTATTCTACACAGATCTTATATTTCTGTACTGTTTTTAATCCCAAATTTCTATTACCATTTAATTTGGAATGTATAATTTTTTTAGCACAATCATATGTATTGCCTTAAGGGGAAAGATGTGAAATAGCTCAGTGCCTGTGTAGCAAAAATTACATGCAAATTATATAAAATAAGCCTCTATTCTTTCCTATCATGTTCTATTCACAGAATAAATGATTAAATATTGCAGTTATGTGCTTTAAATGAGTGTTCTTGTAATATGTATGTTGGTTGTAATGTAATCTGTTCTACATAAATCATTTGATTAAAATCACAAGAATTTTACAAATCGAAAGTGCAGTCACTTTACTTAATGTGCAATTGATCAATTTTTACTTCTACCACCAGTTGACATTCTTGAAAATAATTCTTTAAAATGTATTCCTGAGTTTTTCAGGTAGGTTATCTCTTGCTTCTTTAAAGTTCAGAGGATCTCTTTCCCTAAATCAGATAGACCATTGAAATTTGGCACCGTATTTAGTAATTATTTACCCTCTGAGAGCAGAGTTCTTTGAGAAACTTGACCTGGCCATCTGAGTCTTAACTAACAATGCCTCATTGCGAATAGCTACTTTCATGTAAAATGCTTGTTAACATGGTTTTAATCATGCAGCAATTGAAAGTATAATTTAGAATAAAATATGAAGGTAGTCCCTTATTTTTCTATCCTATCCATATGGCAATTGGAAGTTGAATTTATGCCTTCAACAGATTTTTTTTATCTCACCTTTATTTTTGGTTTGTTAGTTTCCTGAAAGTATGGAAAGAAATCTGTAAATGGTCACTGTGACAGAGTTTTCTTGAAGATTTCAATAAACCTTGCAGTGATACCAGAAATATTGGTACTTTGCTCATGTATTATCATATATGATGATCTCAACCGATTCTAGGTATACTCTGATGTGCAATCATGATGTGGTTTTCTTGTTTTCTACATTTGATGTGCTCTTGTGGTGCAGCCAGGGGAAATAAAAGCAAATATGTAAGTAAGTAACACATGAAACTAAATTCAATCCATCTGATAAGTTCAGTTTCTTTTAGATATTTATCCCTATTAAATTATGCAGTCTTCTAGATTTTCTCCTCCCCTGCTTCTCTCCAAGGTGATGCTTTTGTCAGGGGGAGCTATGTCATCTCCTGGCAGCACAGAAGACAGTGCACATCTTAATGCTTATATCCGCAAGACTTTACTGGGATTTGTCTCCTCTGATCTCTGGCTCCCTACTCTCCCTAGGGGCTGAGTGTCTTGCTAGCATCCTCTGACTGTAGCAGGGAGTGCCTGCCTGTTTAATTATTTCTCAGGTTGGTCACGAATCCCTCCTGCTGATGTGGCTCTACCTCCTTCTCGCCTGAGATCCAGCTGTAACTTCTACCTGATCTCTAAACTAGGTTTACACTGTAGGCTTCAGATAAACGGTCACTTTTCTCTCATTGCAGTGATCTTCCCTCCTACCTCTCTCTCCCTGACAAGGCCTGCTGGTACTTTTTATGCCAAATGGGAATCTGATCAGACTTACTACAGGGGAGGTCAGGACTTCATCTCCCTAACCCTGTGGCTACCCCAGATTGCTTCGGCAACACTGCAAAACTGCCTTTTCCTATAGTTCTAAGTAGAAAACAGGGCAAAATCTGTCTATCAATGGTTTTCTTCCTAACCTGTCTAACATGGTCCTTTTTCCATGACTTCATTGCCAAGAAGAGAGATAAGGAACTAGGTACTTTCTTATCTATTTTCCACCAACTTTCTCTTCATTCTGCATTCACTAATGAAAAAAGAATACAGCTGTCCCTTCCTTCTTTCTGTTTGTTCAGAAAAATTTATTCTATCATGCTTCCTAAGGTGGCATCTACCCTTTGCTTGATTCAATAATGGCAATGAGGCATAGGGATTTCAAAAATACCTTACCTATTATACCTGAGTTAAACTCTGGGTACAAATGTTTGTCTGCTCTGCTTGTTACTCATTTAAGAGAACATCTTCCTTTCCTGGATTCTAATAATAAAATAGAAATAATATTTTAGCTTTTCCTAAGCTTTCTCTAGAAAATGTGGAAACTACAGGAAAAACACTGCTTTTTTTTTGTTTGTTTTTGTTTTTTATCTGAGTGACCCACATCATGTGAGTATTACACTCTTAATTTAGCTTTTCTTTTAGGCTGTTCCATGATTATCTTCATGGGATTGACATTCAGCGTAGGCTCAAACCTGATTAAACCATTTTAGTTTCGTAGTCTGCATATGTCCTTCCCTTCCCTCTGTGTCTAACAGGAGCAATGGGCCACTAGCTGAACTGTAGCCACAGGCACTTATGAAGGACACTAGGACACTGGTATGCAACTCTCAGCCCTTAGAAGTTCATTTGGCCTTAGCTGAACAAAATTTGAATCCCTAGAAGTGAAGTTCCAGCAGCAAAGTAGGGTCTTGATCAGCTGGTACCTTCCTGCCTCAATCCATCCACTCTTCTCTCCTCTCAGAGGCTGCTCTTCTTACCTGTACTCTTTCCTGTCTTCCTAAGAGACTCTGGGAATGCTCGGGAATTTCCCTCACATTTTGTAGGGAATATTTTGGGAATTGTAGTCTCTGTGGAGAGGTTGACTGATAGATTATTCCCCAAGTTCTTCATACAGGTGGCAAAGCTGAGATTACTATCCCTGCCTCTCTCTGTCAAAATGAGACTTCATAAAACAAATTTTGGGTTCTCTTTGGGTGATTTGATAAAGCAGAGCTCCGAGCTGAGAGGAAACTGCTTCCCTGTGGTCTGGTAGTCCCCCACTTGGCAAAGGAAACATCAACAACTTGTTGAAATGAGAAGGTCTCCACTAATTCTCCCCATGTAACTCCTAGAAAATGATGAATCATAGCTAAGTTGCTGGAATGGAGGAAGAGTCAGTACAGAGGTTGTGCAAACAAAGGACATCCAATGACATGACTGTTCCAACATGTGGGGAGGGAAGGCTTACCTACTGACACATCAAGGCTGAGGAAGGCTGCATGTGTGGGTGCCTTCTGGGAACAGAGGAAACCTCTAATCTTTCATCAGCCACTGAAAGACCTAGGCAACTTTCACTGAGAATAGGTGGCTGTGGCCAGCTGCTTTAGGGAAAGGCACCAGGAGTTTGGCGTGTGTAGTCAATACTACAATGATTACTTGAAGTCAGTGGCAGCAGTGGATGAATTTATGAGAGGTAAGCCCCAGGCCAAGTTCTTCAGTAGGATAATGCCGCTGCTGCCCTGGTCGCTCTTGAACTGAGGCTAGTGCTACATTGTTAGCACTCTCTTCTCAGTTAACAGGCAGGACATTTTGAGGAATGGGTTCTGGTGGAGACTGATATTATGTGCTAACTGGCACATAATGGGAAACCTAGAAACTGTGCATCTTATATAAAACAAGATCTCTACATTAGTTTCCCAGGGATGCTTTAACAAAAAAATGCAAACTGGGTGCCTTAAAATAACGGAAATGCATTCTCTTCAGGGTTCTGGGAACTACATATAAGATGTCATCAGGGCCATGCTTCCTCGGAAGGCATTGGGGAAGCATTCTTCTTTGCCTCTTCTTAGCTTGGTGGATACTGATAATTGTCAGCATTTCTTGGCTTGTAAATGCATTACTCCTGTCTTTGTCTCTGTTGCCACATGGCCTTCTTCCCTGTGTGTCTATGTGTCTTCATCTGGCCTTTTTCTTTTTTTCTCTCAATTTAAAAAAATATATTTTTTAAATTGACAAATAAAAATTGTATATACTTACTATGTATAACATACTTTGAAATATGTTTACATTGTGGAATGGTTAAATTGAGCTAATTAACATATTTTTGTGGGGAGATTTAAAAATCTGCCTCTGTTAGCAATTTACAAGTATACAATACGTTGTTATTCACTAAAGTCACCATGTGGCATAGTAGATCTCTTGAAGTTATTCCTTCTATTTAACTGAAATTTTGTATCCTTTGACTAACATCTACCTAACCTCTCTTCCCTGCTCCCCAGCCCCAGTAGCCAACATTCTATTCTATAGTTCTATGAGTTTACCTTTTTCAGATTCCATATATAAATGAAATCATGCAGTATTTGTCTTTCTGTGCCTCGCTTATTAAACTAAACATAATGTCCTCCAGGTTCATCTGTATTGTCATAAATGACAGAATTTTTTTCTTATGGCCGAACAGTATTTCATTGTGTGTATAGACCACATTTTCTTTATTCATGTATCCATTAATTAACACTTTTCATTGATTCCATATCTTGACTATTGTGAATAATGCTGCAATGAACGTGGGCATGTAGATATCTTTCCAACATACTGATTTCATTTCCTCTGGATATATATCTAGCAGTGGGATTACTGGAGCATATGGTACTTTATCTTTAAATTTTTGAGGAATCTCCATACTGTTTTCCATAATGCATAGCCTTCTTATAGGGACACCAGTCATTAGATTTATGGCCCATACTAATCTAGTATGACTTCATCTTAACCAATTACATCTACAACTACCCTATTTCCAGATAAGAACACATTTTTAGGTTCTGATTGGACATGGATTTTGGAGGGACACTCTTCAACTCAGTACAATTTTTATTCTCTAATACAGACAATTATATAGTAACTTTAAAAAAAATATTTCAGCAAGATTTCCCATCCTTTCTCTTCCAAAACTAGGTTTAACCAAAGAAAATTAGACAACCTGTGTAGTGCCCAGTAGAGTATGGCTTTCTTGCCCTCCTCCAACTGTCAAGCATGCTTCCTTGTGAAACTCTTTGCACTTTTCATTCTTGATGGATTCTTTTGTACTCACACTACTCACTGTCTCAACTTTTTCAGGTCTCTGCTCAAATAGCTCCTTCTCCATGAGACTTTCCTTGATCTTTCAAGATAAAATAGCTACCTGCTCCTTACTACCTATTGGTCTCCTTCCTTTTTTCTCCATAGTTCCCATCACCATCTGACATATTGAATTTTCATTTAAAAAAATTTCTTCTGCCCTACATATCTACCAGAAGTGGAGCCTCACACTGAATCTGAGGCAAATTAGAGGTGTGCTATGCCCTGAAGGTCACAGTGCTGCCTGAGACCAAGTGCCTTTTTTGGTTTCTATGTTTTGAGATTTTCACAGAACATTTTTCTTCCAAAAATGTTCTCTGATGCAAATAAATGTGACTTTAACCAAGTGAGAGAAATTTTTATAAGCCATACAAAGAAAAAATAAATCAGTAGGAGCAGAAAATGATCCATTATTTCAGACACTGACTTTGTGATGCCACGAATGATATAAACATAACATCCTTGTTGTTATAGTATTTTCATGCTGTTTTAAACAAATATTTTTTGGCAATGCAAAGTTTAAAGGTCATTTTCCAAGTTATGTTTAATTGGAATCATTTTCTATTACAGTTTCTTTGCTGCCCCATGGAGCTGATTTTACCTATGTTGGAGTCGAGAAAGAAACACTCATAATAGTTATTAGGGAGACAGAAAAGCAAATACAGGCCACCGTGTAATGCCGTCTTTAATGTCTTGGAAGGAATGTAGAAAGCCCATTATTGTTTCTTCAAAAGTAATTTTAAAATGCAAATACAGGCGCTAACACATTCTTGTCTCCATAAGATTGTCAATTTTCTTGCCCCACACTCATTTATTTTTCATAAAAAAATGAAACATGGGGCAGAGACTATTTGTTGACAGTTACTACAATTAACTCAGTCTCAACTCTGACCTAAATTCTTCCCACTTAGAAGCTGTGAAGTAGAAAATAATGAGGACAGTTATTTTTGAAATGTAAAACCTGAAATTGCCAGAATTTATTCAAGTTCCTTGAAGGTAGAGAGTTTGGAGCTGTTTTTGTTGTTGTTGAGCTATTCAATTGCAATTATGATGCTTGGTCTTTTAGTGGATCCTGCTCACACATTAAACTCAAGCTTGTTCCTATTGGTCCTTAAATTAAATTGCATATGCCAAATTCTTGTTTTAGTTTTTACTTTTAGTTCATTTTCAAGAAATAAATTGCACAATATGCACTTTTTCTTCTTGTTGTTAATATGGAAATACTAAAACTTAGAGTGCTGTGAGTTTCATTTAGATAGTGTTCAAATGTTTAAGTTAATTTCTTGACTTTTTTGGAAATTTTAGGCATATTTATTCATGTAAATGATATTACATTAATAAACTAAATATTCAAAGTGAACAGGACAGAGAAATTTGATAGATAGTTCACATAATGCATTGCTTTTTATCTTTAACTGTTAATGCCTAGCTCTTATAAAAGCAGCTATGATCTTATAGATAGTAAGAATATTTTAGAACTATAATTTTTGTATCCATGCCTAATGTATCTATTTTTCTGATAGTGTTTAAAAAACTTCTATCTGACTTAGGAGGGATGGTCAATATTTAATATGTGTATATATATATATAACATATATATATAATATTACATATATATGTAATATTCCTCTTTTATTCTAAATAATGCTTCATTGACATTTAGCATTTTAGATTAACCTTCTAAGAAACAGGATCTACAAAAAGTAGATTAAATTTGAATTTAGGCCCCTAAGTCCTCTTTCCCATTTCCTGGACTTGGGAATCATGTGCTTCACCTCCTTGTCAAACTATCACACCCCTTCCCCTTCCAATGCATGTATTTCAGGGCCACAGGTTGCTGTGTTTTCTGCTTTGTCATTTTCATTTATCTTCCCCCATCCAACCCCATTTTCTGAGAAATAATTTGAATCTTAATGTGAATAGAGTGTATACAGTATTTGCCAAACTCTGTTACGGCAGGGGCGGGGCGTCTGATAGATGTTAAACAAGTCGTGTTCTATGAATATAGTATTCCATACCCCAAAATGCTTGGGGAGTATTCATTCTAAATTCTGTCCTTGGAATTTCAAAATGCAAGTTAATATGTAAAAGGTTCTGAAAGTGAAACAAGAAACCTGTTTCATTTTGTTGTATAATTAAACAAACTAGCTTGTTTTGCAAAAGGGAAGACCAATCTGGCTGCATCTATTCTTATCCCTGAAACAGCTATATCTCTTTACAACAGCTTAAGATGGGCTAACATTTACTAAGAAGGAAAGATAAATTGTATCTTTACAATCCTAGCGTACAGACAGTTCTTGTAAATTTGCTCTAAGTAAAACTCTTATTGACTCATGCTTAGGTTAGAATTTTTTTCCCTGGTGTTGGGTTTGTACATTTGGTACAGGCAAGTATGTCATCAGAGATATGACTGGGACCAGATTGTGGAAAACTTACAAGGGGTTTAAGATTTATCCTATCTATTGGGTAGCCATCAAAAGCTTTTAAAGGAGAAAGTATATAAAAAGATCTGTGAGACAAAGTTAATTGGGGTAGCAGGGTAGAGGTGGAGTGGGAAGTGAAACGTGACTCAGACAGCCAATTTTGAGATTGTTATAGTCATTCTTGTGAGAATGTTGAGGTCTTGAACTAAGATCACAGCTGTGAAAAAGGATTTAAAAAACACATTTGAGGAAAATTAAACAAGAGAAAATAGAGAAAAGCAGTGTGTTATGATGACTCAGTTTTCTAGCTTGGGTTGGCGATGGTGATGTAATTCACTGAAACAATATGAAGGAAAATAAATGGTTGAGATGATGGAGGGGTAGGGTAGTGAGTATGATTTTGGTCATATATAAGTAATGAATAAGAACAAGCCATTCTAAATAAAAATATACTTGTTAAGGTTGCCTAAGGGTGGAAGGGACAGTGAGATATTCTCTGTAGGCATCTTGCAGTGCCCACATATTGCCAACACGCTCCTTACCTCTGTCTGTTTTCTTGTTGACTGACTAGTGACCACTCTGACATTTTCTATGCTTTAGCCTCACAGGGTTCTGCTTACCTGTCAAAAATTGTCTTCCAGTCACTGTGAGTAAAAGGCCAGGGATAAATTATTTAAGGAAAAATACTTACAAAAATGCAACCATGACTGTAACCCAAAAATAAAAACAATTAGGCTATTGGAGCAGTCAAAAGTTACTCCATGTCTTTGCAAAAGGTCTTAATTTTTAAGGTTAAAATTATCAAAGAGCAAATGTGGAATTATTTTTAAACCATATGATTGTTAATAAAACATTCAAGTGCTGATTTATGAGAGTGCCACCCTGAGATAAATATAAGGATTTAACACAGATGAAATCAGTATAGCCAGAATAAGAGGCTGTTTGGTATAGCGGGAAGACATAACCAAAGGACTCCCAAAAATATATTATATTTATAATAATATACAAATATATATTTATAGGTATACATTTATATTTAACCATAAATATTTAAATATATGTATATGAAATACAAGCATATATTAATATTATTTGTATTTAAATATATTTATAAATATTATTTTAAATATATATAAACCACTGGTTGTGTCTTTAGGTGGTGAAAACATGATTTGGTAGGTGGCAGGGGTAAAATTTTGACTACTAAGACATAAACAAAATGGGTTTTATTATTGGTTGTATTGTGGACTGTGTGACTTCAAAAGGCTCAATTAATTTGAAGTCCATTATTTTCATCTTAAAAAATGGCATAACAAGAGCTACCTTGCTTTTATTATAAGGTTATTATAAATAGCAACTGAAGTATATGTAAAAGTATTTTATACACTATAAAGAGATAAACTTATGTGGAGCATTACCATTATTGAACTGAAGCACAGAAGTTGACCATTAGAAGAGAAATATGGCATTTTAAAGAGGTAACACCACTATTATCTATTATTTTAAATTAACAGACTGGCTAATAATGTCAGTGAATGATTTATGTGGGGAAGTGGGTTAAAATATATAGTAGGGGTCTAACATGAAAACATGTGGCTTCTTGGAGGAATTAAAGCATTTTTCAAGTGACAACAAGTTGCATGGTATGGAATGAGGGTCACCAAATCAGGCCTTTTCTACAATTTTGCATAGTCTTGTTGAAACTAATATGCCTTAATATGTGATATTTTGAATTCTGAACAATAACTAGTCTAGTGTATTTACTGGTAAGTAAGGATGCAGAGACTAGGACTGTACATTTAGATAGTGGCACAGGAAAACTGAGGGCTCATTTCCAAGTAATTCATAGAACATCCCTTCTTGATCATCCCCCCACCCTCACCATCCTCAAGACACACACATGTGTGCACACACACTGTTTCCATATATCATGCCATTTACTCTCTCCTGGAACATTCTTGCTTTTTCTAACCTTCACTTAGATAATATATAATGATGCTTCAGGATTCATTTCAGGTATTATCTCCCCCTTCCCAGATCCCAAATGGGCTAACTAACCCTCCTTTTTGTTTCTCATGCACCCTGTCTATAAATTTATCATGGTGTTGATTCCATTACATAGTTTCAGATAATATATATAACACATGAACAAACAGGGTATTTACATTTGCTTTCCCCTGAGAGCTGTAAGCTCTCTGAATTTAGAATTATGTTGAATTCATCTTTGTTTTCATTGGATCTAGCACAGTATTAGATATATAAAAAATAAATGCCTAATACAAATGTTCAGAGTCAACTGAATATGAAATATTAGAGATTGAATGATACAAAAAGAACTACTTGCTGAACTTTTGAAGGATGCTGTGGTGGGGTAGTAGTAGTGGTAGCAGGAGTAAAGAAGACACTATTGTGTAGGAGAAAGTTGGGGGGCACACATGTTATCCTCAAATTATAAGCTATTTGGTTCTTTTCATTTATTTTAAGATTTATAAATCCATTCATTTACTTACTCAACAAAACCATTCAACAATTGGTATATTCCAGATACTGTGTGTGTGTGTGTGTGTGTGTGTGTGTGTGTGTGTGTGTGTGTATGGAGGGGGGTGGTGCAGAGAGAGGTGAATCAGATGTAAGATTGGTTTTCAAGACCCTTGAAGGCTAATAGAGGGGAATAGACGTTGCACAACATGACACAAAAGGAAAAATGATCAGAAGGACATAGCAGAATTATATCCAGTGCAGACTCTCAGCTCAAACTGCCTATATTCTAATTGTTCCTCTGTCACTTACTAACATGCAGCCTTAAGAAAGTTAACTTAACCTTCATGTGCCCGAGTTTACTCATTTGAAAAATGAAGACAACTGTACTACATACATTATTACATTGTGAACATGATGTGAGTTAGTCTCCATTAACTTACTTCTAGTCATTGCTTTTTGGGGATTTCTAAATAATTTTCATGCAGCAGTGCAGTAGAAAGACTACTGTGCCAAAGAAGAACATATTTTCAGGCCTTTTATATGTATTACTAAATTGTCTTTAAAAATTATTGTACCAATTTATTTTAGCAAAACTGTTAGTGAATTTATTTGTTTCCTTGCATCCTTGCCAATATTCGTCTTTTGCTAATTTAGAGGCAACATAGCATTTTATAGTTTAAAAATTTGTATAGAGGTAGTTGGTGTGATTGAACACTCTTTCTTACAACCTGATTCTATGGGTACTCCTCTTTCGTGAATCATTTGTGGTTTTATTTTCTCCTTTGGCAAATTGTGGGCTGAACAAAAAGAGATGATTTTAATGGCCTATATTGCATTCTATAATGTGTGTTGAATATTTTCTTCTTTCAATATAATTTCTTCCCATGGTTTTCAATATCATACTGTTCTGTACTTTCTCTAGCTTCTCTTGGCTGCTCCTCCTGAACTTCCTTTGCTGGCTCATCTTGTGACTGGTTTTTAAATATTGATGTTCTATATTCTCTTCACAGATGAGCAAACATGTTTATATACTGTGTATATGCCAGTGACTCTCATGTTTACATTTGCAGTTAAGACTTCTCTAACTCCAGATTTGTTTATGCCTAATCTTGGGAGTTCCAAAGGCAACAATCTCAACATGTCCTAAAATAAATTCTTGATCCCTCCCACACCCCAACCCTTATTCTTCTATAATGTTTAAGATCTTGAATGAATAGTACTGCCACTATTCGTGTCATATAAAACTGAAAATTTAGGGTCATTTTGATATCCCCATTTTTTCTTCTTTGTATCAAATCTGTCTCATTTTCTTCTTCTCTTGTATCTACCAAGCTCCAGAAACTACTCTAGTATGAACTACTTTTGTATGCAGTTGATTTATGGGATATCTCCTTGCACCTCACATTGCAACCACAATGATGCTTTTAACATCCACACTGACATGCAAATGTTAGTGCTTAAAACTGTTCATGACATCCTACTGGTGTTACAATCAAGATCACAGTCCAGAACATCAGCTACAAAGCTCTACATTATCTGCCCTGCCTTCTCACCACTCACCTATAGCACCACTCTTCCAACTGCTCTCTCTTCTACCATGTGAGCATATCATGCCCCTTACTACCTCAGGGTGTCAGCAAAAGCTGTTTCCTCTGCAGTATTTTTCTTCAACTAAATAATCCCTATCCTTTACCAGTCAGCTTAGGAGTCATTTACATAAAGAAGCTTTCCTTGGAGTCAGGTCTAGATCTTCCTCGCTATACTTACTGCAGCCTAAATTTCTCTTTCAGAAATTATTATAATCATAATTAAATATTTAATTGAGTAAATTATTCAAATGGTTGGCTCCTCCCTTAGACTGTAAGCTCAACAGGGACAAGGCTAGCATACAGAATAAACTAATAAGTATTTAAAAATACATTTTGGGCTGGTTATTTAACTTTAAAAATGTCATCTATTAATATTTAGTTTTAAAATGGAAATTCCTGCTTTGAGTACCTGACTTGGTTACTATAAAGACTATATATGTGAATGTATATAAAATTACTTGCTCACTTGACAATAAGATGTAAATATTTCTCCAGGTTTATTCAAATAGCCTATTTCCCCTTGAAGTCTGTGGGATTTGAAACACGTACTTGAATAATGTTTGAAGGTTTAAGTTAGACTTGAAGTAAGATCTGTGGCTGCCCAACTTGTAAAATAGACTGCTTGTTAAATTTGCTCTCCCTTTTATTTTCTGGCAGGCATCTGGCAATGTGTCATTTTTAAAGGTCAACTAACCTTGTTTGGCTCTGGATTGTACAATAGCCTTCTTCTGCATTAAAAAAAAAATATGTGACAGCCAAAAAGAAAGTGTGGTGCCTTCTATCTTGAGACTAGTTATACCCACCATAATCTAGAGAATTGATATGATAAATAAAGAATGTGTTTTCCCATTTGATATAAAATATTGATATAATTTAGAACTCTGGATCTATGAAGTTATCAGAGACACTAGTCTGATCATAGAATGTCAAAGAAGCTCCTCGAAAGAAACAACAGCCTTTCCTCTTACCTCTTTTGTTCTGCTCCATATGGGGAACAGATGAGCATGGTATTTGGAAGAGGAGGAAGTGGGAGGCCACCGTAAGTTTGCTTTGTTGGGTCAGCTGCATCTTACAAAGTGGAGTTAGTCATGACTAAGTGAGCTCAATGATTGATGCATCCACCTACAAATCATGGGACCCTAAGAGATCATTTCCATGTGGGGATGGGATGGTGTTTTATACCAGCATCAGTAATACATGGAATGATAGAGTATAAATCAGGGAGTAAGGATACTCCAATATTATTCAAAGGTGAAAACTATGCTAATGAGATGGAATAACAAATAAATATAGAAGTGCTCAAAAAAAGATTTAATGCACATTTTTAATGTCAATCCAGTTTTTTAACCTAATATAATGTTCACTGAGTATCCAGTACTTCCTAATTGGGCCTGATTATAATTATATATAAACAAAACATAAAATTTTGAGGAAACAATTATTCTTTTAAATTACATATATTATTTAATATGTATATAGTAAAATATATACATTATGTATTAAAATAATTATTTTTTATATATGTAATGAGTACAGACCTGCCTTTAAATATGTTGGGAGCTCACATTTTATATATGCGTGTATCTGCATGTGTTTGTGTATCTGTGCATATTCTCTCATATGTATATTTATGGATTTTGCAGGAATATAGCAAATCATTTTCAATAATCATTCACTTTAGAATTTAGAAAGCATTTAGAAAGATCCCAAATCACTTGCATAGCAAATTCACTATATCTACCTAAAAGTAGTTGAATGCTTGAGAAAATGCTAATGACAACAACAAAATACCTTACTTAGTAGGGAGATAGTCTTAGGTTGATATTAATTTTTTTTGGCTCCTAATAAATTTAAATGAATGTTAAAGATTCCTTCTAACAAGTCTCAAAAACTGAACTAAAAAGCATACTACTTTATAATTGGGCTTTTTATGCTTTTGCATAATTTTATAACAGACATGAATATAGTGTTTTGTTTACTTAACAAAATATTAAAAATTACAATACCATATATGCTTAATTTAAAATCTGTAATATAATTCAGTATTAAAGAAAATATAGCTAAAATGAAAAATAAAATGCCCAACAATTGTATTTTTGAATTGGGTTCTTTATATATGATATATGGATTGTTTATTCACAACAGAAAGAGGATAAATGTGAGCAGTAAGACAGTAAGACATTGACATTTATTAATCTACATAAAATGCCAATCAAGATAAAATTTCACTGGGTATTTTTAAATATTTATTTTTTATTTGTCAAACTATATGGCCCAATTTCATTGGATAATTGAAAATTCTTAGGTTTGGGCTGAGTAGACCCAATGTAAGTA
This sequence comes from Homo sapiens, assembly GCF_000001405.40. Taxonomy (NCBI): domain Eukaryota; kingdom Metazoa; phylum Chordata; class Mammalia; order Primates; family Hominidae; genus Homo; species Homo sapiens. The sequence goes on along the minus strand of NC_000002.12, from coordinate 195,015,757 downwards.
CCTTAAAAAAATTTGCAAATGGGTATTGCTTTACTAATATCTCTTATTGATTTTTTCCATATAGTATTTAAACTCTTTGTGTTGAATTTTTTAGGTGATTTTATACTTCTCCTTTGCTCTAGTACCATGAGCAATGCTGAGTGGCTGGTTTTATTTTTATAGTTGCACATTGTCTGAGAGACATTATTATCTATGAAATCACATTTTACTTTTCCAAATTAGTTGAATATTCTAGAATATTAATTATGTGGTAATTTGAAATAGTTGACATGTATATCTCATGTATATTACATATTATACACCATATTGGGTATTTAATGCCCCTTTATTTGCTTTTTTACATTATAATTGTTCATTAACTTTTTTATTATATAGTTTATTGACAAAAGCCACAGGAAGACAAAGCTGGAATAATATAATATGCCTTATCTAATTGTAAAAGTCACATATAATTATTAATTTTAAAATTCTAATTAGTTGCCCTGAAGCATTCTTTGTCCCATTGTATTTTTGATTATTCATCCTCAGTTACTAAATGCAGAGCCTTTATTTCCTCTTTTTTCTATTTTCTTATTTCATTTCTCTGCCTTTTCTTTCATTTTTAGGAGCTGGAATTTTATTTTTTTTTCTTCTTTTCTTTTTTTTTAATCTTTTTGCAGCATAGTAGTGAATATATTTGACCTTTTTTATGCATAAGCCTCCTAACTTTTTACTGGGTTTTTGTGATGTTCTGTCAGTTTCTTTTTTTCCTTTCTTGCAGCAGTGGATACATTGCCCCCAGATACACAGTAATTGCTTACAAAAAACAGGACAATGCTACAAGCCAGAATACAGATCTGAAAAAAATAAAATAAAATGACGAGTTAAAAATACCTACGCATCATGTAGAACAGAGTTTATGATAATAGCAGCTTCCATGTTTTGGATTAAAGTTAAACCACAGTTAACAGGTCAAAATTAATGGATTATTTAATACTTCTTTATTGAGTATTCATGTCCTGACCCCAAGATAGTTCTGGGAATTTTAAAGAATTGCTAGATTTCTCATTTTGCAGTGTTGTGGTAGAGTGTGTCAGACACTCTGAAAGTTCAGTTAATTACCACATCAGAGTATCCATCTTTCTGATCCAGTGTCCTTAATTTTTATTGCAATTTGAAAATGATAAATTTCAAGGGGCTAGTTTATATGCTATAACAATCTAAGGAGACTTAATGAGAAATATGCTCATTGTAACTGGAGCTCACATAAAAATAAAGGTCGGATTATATAAGAAAATATTTTTATTTTAAATATTTTGTTTAATCAAATTCAAACAGAAATATATCTTTAGCATACACTGAGTCAGTGGATTTTGTGATCTGCCTTTGTTTCTTCTTACATTTAGAAAATTTCAATTTGACCTCAACCATCTCTCTATATGGCCATTTATTTACCCATGTAGTAGTTAAATTACACATAGTAAAACCCTGACTTTTGTAATTTTATTTTTTGGTTCACATATGTTGTTTTGGTATAGAATTACACAAAGGATAAAGAAGGCATTTCTTAACATTTTTCATGTTAAAAAAATTTCTAAGATACATTGTTTTACATTTAAATATTTTAGAAATAAGAATATATCATATTTTATGACCTTCATTAAAAGCAAATAGCTATAAGGATCTGAAAGAGATATTTGCACTCCCATGTTCATTGCAACATTATTCACAATTGCCAAGGTATTAAAGCAACCCAAAACTCCATCAACAGATGACTGGAGAAAGAAAATGTGGTATGTACATATAATTGAATATTATTTAGCTTTTAAGAAAAAGGAAATCCTGCCATTTGCAGCAAAATGGATGCACCTGGAGGACATCATACTAAGTGAAATAAGCCAGTCACATGGAGACAAATACTGCATGATTTCATTCATATTGGAATATCTAAAATGTTCAGTCTTAAAAAATCAGAAAATAAAACGGTGATTGATAGGGGCTGAGCTGTTCCATGGGTACAGAGTTTCCATTATGCAAGATGAATAAGTTCTAGAGATCTGCTGCACAACATAATGCTCATAGTTAACAATACAGTATTAGACATATAAAAATTTGTCAAGAGGGTAGATTTCATGTTGTGTTTGAAACATACTCAGACACAACAAAACTATCAAAAAATAAAAACAGAGGCACACGGAAACACTGAAATGTAGTTAATGTGTCTAGTACTTTGTGGGGGTGATTTTATAGGTGTATGCATATAAAAACTCATCAAATTGCATACATTAAATTTGTGCAATTATTTTTGTATACAAATCATACCTCAATAAAACTGTTAAAAAAAAGAAAAGAGAAAGTAAAAAACAAATGACTACCACCAACAACAAAAATGTCCAAGAACAGTAAATAGAGTTTGTATATATACATGATGTATTTTTTATCGCCATTGCTTCTCATGTATGAAAAGAATTTTTGTTAAATTGTCACCTTTGTTGAGTTATTTGTTTTTGTAATATGATTTGTAGCTTGAGTTTAACATAATTGTGAAATCCTAACTTTGCTGTTTTCAAAGGTAACATTTTGTGAAAGAATGAAAGCAAAAAGTTATTCTATCCTCAGAATATTGTCTGTCACATGCCAATCAACATAATTAAAGGCAATAGAAATTGCCAAATTTCTCATGTATATGTATGTATATATAATAAAAATAGGCAGGGGACAAAGTAATATACATGTTTCATGAAGGACTATTATTCAGGGAAAACATCTTCAAACCTTTCAACTGACTTTCAACATTAAGTAGTCCAATTTTCTTGGTGCATAATATTCTCAGGGTTGGTGTGTGGAGACTAGACAAACCACAGAATCATAGTAATTTAGGGTTTCAAGAAAATTGAAGACTATCTAACCCAATTTTCCAAATTGTAGAGTCAGGAAAAAGAATTTTTCTCTGATCTCCCAAGAGGAAGTTATCTTTTCTATGTGCTCTCATTTTTCCGCACTGTAGCATTTATGGCAAGATGATTATTATGGCCTATTTACTTCTTTATATCTCTCCTTAAGTAATAAGTGTTTTGAGCACAACACTGTACTATGGGCCCTGTGTTCTTAGAGCATAGCACTATACCCAAAACGTAGAGAATCTTATCAAATAAATTATGATCAATAATTCTCTTCCATAGTAAATGGCCACCAATGTATATTTGAAGACATTAGGGCTATGAAACTAAAAAAGAAAAAGAAACTTCCATCACTTCTATTTTTAGGGATTTTACTTCTCTTGACATAAGGTTTGTGTGTCTTTGTAAATACCACTAATTCTGTGTGAATAATTACTAATAATACTACTAATACTGTTACTTGAGTAATTCTATTAGCTTGGAATCACAAAGAACAGGTCTATGTTCACATCTAATTATAATCACTCAAATCTTTAAAAGTAGCTATCATACCCCTACTCATGTCCATTTTACAGTCTCTGATTCACTCATGCTATCTCCCTATTTGATTTAAAATGTTGTTGCTGTATATGAAGTTATATTTCCGTTCAGCTTAGCAGAAAGTTATCAATTCGCTAGGCATTCTCTTAGAGTACATATGGTATAAAGGTGAATAGACATACATTGTTTTGAGGAAATAGATAAATTTATAATTCTAAAATATTGTAGGGCTTTATCACATGATATTGTATTTAAAAATGGTGTCTGAGATTCAGATATGCACAAATTCCTACGGGAGCATAGAGAACAGGCTTTTAGTTCAACCAAAGAGGTCAGGTGAACAATAATTTTATTATTTTATTTCATCCTCTTAGATGAAATAAAATATTCATATTATTCACACCTGTCAACATCTTTTTGGATCTTTATTCCATCATATAAACTCTGTTCCTCCCAAGCTTTTCTCATTATTCACAGATTTTATAAGCTTTTAAAATGATAACTTCATCTTAAAAATGTTGATGAGTACAAGATTGGGACTGTAGTTTATGACATAGCTTGACAACATTCTCCCAGTTGGAATCACCCATCACATGACTCAAATAAAGATTCTCTATTGTTGATAATGAAATGTTTGCATTATAAAGGTTTTCTTACAATAGTAATGCATCATACTATGAAAACTACAGTACTAATAAGTAACTTCACATGCTTTAAAGTAGCTACTTAAAAATATTTCTTTTGGACTGGTAGATGCCGATGTTCTTGCCATAAGATAACTTTTAGATGACAGCACAATTATTTTGTTTCTGAAAGGTAGAATTTTAAAAATAGACTTTCTTCCTATTTTGTGCTTCCAGATACGGTACACAGATAAATCCTAGTAGAGACTTATATATATTTTATTTCTTTATAAAACTTTTTCTTTAAAGTTTGAATCTGTGAACTGGTACTCTGCTGCAGTGACAGGAGAAAGTTAATGAAAAATGTTTTCTTTTGTTCACCATGAACTTTTCTTTCAATTGAGCTTCCTAAATCTGGTGTTCTGGACCACAGCTGAGTGTCAGTTAGAAATGGAACAGGGGCAAAAAACAAGGTAGCTACATCTTCCCATGAAAACAATTAATTTGGGGCACACCCACGTGAATATGCCTCCCTAAGTATTATACAGCAGTTTTGCTGTTTTATGACTTCTTCGGAGCATTTAGTATCACTGACTACTTTTTCCTCTTCCCCTCTGCTTTTCTTTACACCACCCTGTCCTGATTTTCCTGATTTTCTTATTATTTCCTGTGAAATATGATGTTTAACTAAACAAGTATGATTCTTCTTTTGCTACCCATTGGAATCACTTGGTAACTTTTCTTCTTTCTTTTTATTAAAAATAATACCCAGAATCTCACTCACAAAGATTGTGACTTAATAGATCTTTGTCTGTGTGTGTTGCGTGGAGTCGGGTAAGGAATTTGGCACTGGTAGTTTTAAAAGTTTCCTCTGGTAATTCTGATGTGTAGCCAGAGATCAGAACCATTATCTTCAATTATAAGTTGAACCGTATACCATTACCTACAAAAATGTCAAGTTCATATGGCTCGACCAAATATTTTTTCTTTCTGTATATTTACACTTGGCACAAGCTGGAAAGAATAATAATCATAAAATTAAGTTTATATATGACTTACTCTGTTCAAGGCACTTCTTACATGCTAACTTATTTAATACTCACTGAAACCCTCAGGGATAGACATTAGTAATACCCATTTTGCAGATGAGAAAACTGAAGCACAGAGAAGTGAAATACTCAAGGTCACAGGGCAGATATTCGTGGGGTGTCTGTTTACTGACAGGATTGTCAGCTCCCCAAGGGCTGGAAGCCATTGTTTTGTTCGCTAATGTCTTTCAGGTACCTGGAACAGTGTCTGGCACATACAGAAGCTTAACAAATATTTTTTGAAAGAAAAGAAGAAAGAAAGAAAAAAAGGAAGGAAGGAAGGGTGTTTCATTTTTTATAGAAAGTATATGTGTGGGGTTCAAATTTGTAGGACTATTTGTGTTTTAAGATTTTTCTCTAATATCTTTGATGTACATGTATCAAAAGTTGGAAAACACTTTAGATGAGTAGGAAATATTTTGCCTTGATTTTAAGTAACTGAGTAGTGGAAAATAAATTCAGTTGTCCCAGAGAAGTCTACAATTCTGTTGACAAAACATTTAAATCCAATTTTTAAATTTTCAGATTGAGTTAGTAATTATATGGCAAGTAGTTCAAGATTACTCTAGTAAACATGTATATCTTTACTGAATGGCTGCAAGGTTTTGCACTGTGTGTGGTTTTACACTTATATAGGAGAATTACAGATAAAGAAACTTCAGAACTATATCAAATCTTTTAATGTAGAATTTCAAGGAAAGGGGCCTTTCTTTTAAATCTTCCCACCCTGTCAACAACCCATACTGGTTAAAGTAAATGCTGAAGAACTCCTGCCAAATGTCACATCCACAAACAGTACGAAATGAAAGCAATATCTGTTTCTCTTAAGTGTGTGTATGTTATCATAAAATACAAAAGATGAATATTTCATATTTCAAATTGTGGATTCAAGCTATTACCCTAGCTGTAAATAAAATTTTATACCTGGGACTACTGGCATAATACATTAGTTTTACTAAAAAAAGAGAAATACATATTAACCTACTGCCTTTACCTTCTAAAGACCGATAAGGGGCATTTTGTGGTAATGTCTGCATGCTTTCAGGGACAGAAACCTAATTTAAGCTGTTTCAGTTTAGGGAAAGATAAAGGCCTTTTTCTCTCCAGAGTAGTGATGCCACGGCGCAATAGGCCTAAACGCTGCTTTCCAGATTGCTTGTGAGTCATTTGGTTCTTTTATTAGCTTTTCTTACATTACCATCTCATCTTTCTCCTCGCTGTTCTTCCTGTGTTTTGGACAGCGAAATTGGGAAATATGTGGCACTTGGTGAGTGGTAGAAAACGGGAGTGAGTGACTGCCTGGTTCCCATGTGGTTATGTTAGCTCGCCTGCACGTCTGATATTTAAGTGTCTCTCAGCACTGCCAGATGGGTATGAATCTGGGCTGTAGGACCTGAAGTCCTAAACTGATCAAGACATGTTGTGAAAATAGTAGCTGCTTTTCATTGAGCTGTCTATTCACTAGGAACATTGCTGCGGTTCCCTGATATCTACTACTCAGAGACTTTTAGACTTAATTTAATTCTTGTTCAGGAGAGCTTTGGGGGTGGGTCTGAGATAACTGCTCTGGGGCATAGTGGTTGGCACATGGCAAAATATGTACAGTATTCTCTCATAAGAGAAAAACTAGTTTTAGTGAGAGCAAAATCTGTACTAGAATTAGATTTAAGATTTGTAATTTAATCAGTTTTTATTTTCAGGGGCACTGCAAGATATCTACTTTTCTAAAAATGCAATTTATATATAATGTTGATATTTATTAATTACTATTCCTGGAGTACTTTCTAAAGTTCATGAGATATAATTTAAATAGTTATTGAAAACCTGCTACAGATTCTAAAGGAAGCACACTTGTGAATAACTCATGTGTTTGTTGTATGCCTCCGTATACAGGGACCATCCATCAGTTTACTGCCTCTTGTTCCTTCCAAGTTTTTGAATGCTTCTGTAAACCCCAAAAGGACTCATTAGGCTTGTTTCCTTTCCATTTTGAAGTCCCAGTGCTTAGAGTACTTTCACAAATAATGATTTGAACTTGGGTGAAAATTTCTGGAACATACCGAAGATCAAACAAATCATCTAATATCAAACATTTCCAACGACAGGACTTGGAAGTGAAATCTATTTCTAAAATATCCTGTATGAATTTGTTAAGAAATTATGTGGTAATTATACCCCAGATAATACATTCATATAAAATAATTCAGAAATAATAGGAGAAGAGAAATACATAGGGATTGGTATGAATGTCCAGGTATGTCCTGCAAGAATAGGAAAGGGTGAAAAAAGTGGCAAAGATAATTATTAAAATAATTAATGTTCTTTTTGTTTATACTTCTTTTTGCAAACTAATTACAACTTCAAATACAACTCATTAACCTGACTTAGGAATATTACAAGTAAGAAGGATTTTATATCCTAAGTGTGTTGAAGTTATACAAATATTAAATTTTGTGTTGAGAAAACAGGGTCACCCAATACTTCAGAGATTGCGTACTTAAAGATAGATACACCTATCTAGGCAGCAGACTTGTTGTGAAGGCCAGTAGAGGGTTTTAAAAATGAATTTGAAGGTCTTGGGAGAGGCACGCTCTTCCAGATTCCAACTGAATAATACTCCTTATTGACTCATACTTTGTGTTGAATTATATGGCTTTACTCATGTATGTTACATTTTTGCCTAGTTCTGAAGACACTTGAGGTTTTAGACCTTTCAGATGCTAACACCTCTGATGAAGACAGTTCTTTTTAATGAAATAATTGCTTCTGAAAATTAAATACAAACTACCCTTTTCCGCTGTAAGTTATATAAGTCATTATTTTTGTGTTTAACTATTTAAGTAGATTGAATACTGAACAATTTGACTTGTATGAAATTTCTCTTGTGCTACAGAAACAAATTTTAATCAATATCAGTTCTTTCTTTTAGGCACTAGGGAGTATTTTATTCATCTTTCACCTACATTTAGATCACGTGTATATTGCACACATACACAACATGATATAAAATAGTAGAGAGGTGTATGCAATAAGCACATAATTCATTATTCAAGGGCAAGTCTTATAAGTGAGATTTTGAGAGCTCATAGAGAATAAAACTAACATTAACTCAAAGTTTTGTGCATGTCATATTTTATAGGAAAATACTTCTAGAGCATTTTTGATTTTTTTAAATTTATTGCTGCTACTTTTCATTGTCTTGATCTATGGATGCTGTTACCTTAGTTACACATTTTTTTTGCTCCTAATTTAGTTGACTTTACAAGTTCATAAAAATAAAACAGAACATGGCACTAATAAATTAAAGCAAAATATCAGAATTTTCACACATGAAAAAAGTCATAAATGGTTTCTTCTTTCCTGGCGTATTCTTTTCCTTTTGTGTTGAAGACTTGGAAGGCGCAGGAAGAGGAAGGAGCTTTTGTATGTGAGTTAATCATTTCCTTGTTAACCTTTTGCCATCAGCCACAATGAGATTCATTCTGCATATCACAGTAGACCTCATCAGCAGGAATATGCTTTCATCTTTGCCGCCTGGTTTTACAGGACTGGAGGGAATTGGCACCACGAGGGAATCATTAAAAAGATAATGGACAAATTATTTTCTCATATCTTCATTCAGACTTCTTTCTCACTGGTACCCTCGTAACTCAGTGAGCATCAATCAGAATTATTCATTAAGAACTCAGGGATAGAACAGTATCCTGAGGGAGAGTATGGGCGGGGAGGAGGGGTAGCACAAACTTGGAAGCAAGTAGGACTCAGACCCAATATATCAAAAAGGAAATTCTGGGATTACTTCCTGTGGATGCATTTGAGTTAAAGATGTTGGAACCGTAAAGAGGGGACATGCTCATCCTAAAGCCCTAAAAATATAGATGGTTTTCAATTTAAAAAAATTCAACTCTCAGAAAATGAGTTTCAGCAGTAGCTAGGACATTTTCATTTTGTAGAATAAAAGTTTCTTTCTTTTTTTTCTTTTTAAGCCTGTTCGTACACTGAGTGACTATTTGTTAGTAATTAGATTTGAGCATCTGTCTTGTTCTTGTTGAGAAAAAAATTGAGTAGGGTATAGGAAAAAATTGAGTAGGGTATAGGCAAGAAACATATCATTCAAGAATATTGCAGTAGGAGAGAGAGATTGAACTTAACTCCTCTAAAACAAAAGGCAAGAATATTTTTAAATGCTGGGCTGAGCTAATGGGAAAGGATTGGAGGACCTTAGGAGTAGGCTGGTTGATGTAATTAGGCTATCTGTGTTGGCTAATTTCTGTGTTGGCTAATTGTCCATTATTAAAATTAGGTTTTACTCTCTTAGAGAGGCTAAGAAATATAGCACTATCTCCTTTGATGACTACATTTCAAAGGGATGGCTCCCAGCTCCCCGAGAAAGACCTTCCTAGGTTGTAAAACTGGCAAGAGGCTGGGAGAGGATTTATATCTGAATGCGGCAGAGGAAGAATTTACAGTGGAAAGTTTCCTAAAATAAATGCTGTAAGAAAAGAGAGGTCAGGGACCTATAACCAGGAAGAAATCTGTCTTAAGTTGAGTCAAGGTGATAGAAATGTTAAGGCTATCTTGGTCAATAGTTATTAAGTCTCTGTGCAAACCCTGGGAATTTTCCTCTTAACAGATGGAAGTTGGACAGCAAAGCTAAAGCAGTGATCAAACATCTTGGTGGACCAGGCCTCAACTGTGATCGCCCAGACAAGGCTGGTTCAGGTTTGCTGAAATTAGGATAGGTTGTAAGGAGAAGTGTTTCATGAAAACCCCAATTTAGAGAAGCAAGAGCCCCAGTGCATTTTAAGGGCTAACCTGAATGTATAGGCTGCAAAGGACTATCCCTTTAGAAATGAGATGATTTAGCGTGTCTTCTTCAGGTGTAATAGCTTAGCATGAACCCAGCCATTCTCTGGTCTGAACTCACATCTTCAGGTTGGGAGAAAAGCGGGATTTGATTTGTCAGACTCCTTTATCATGAGTTAGTCATTATCAGATGCCAAGCAGATTTACTGACACACCGCCATCCAAAAAAAAAAAAAAATATTTCAGACAACAGTTGTATGTGACAATGTGTTATTATCTACTTCTGATGTCTTAATACACATAGAAGTGACACAGATTTGTTGTTATAGGAATAGTGATGGAGAATATTTTCCCCATTGGAAATATTCTAGGTTTTTAATTTTAATTTCTCATAATTAAGCAAGATTGTATAATATTGTGTATTCGCACACAGAAGAAGAGTAATATTGTAAATTCTTTCCAGGGATAATGAATGGAAAATTACAAAATCTGCCTGCAGTTTTAATGCAGCTTTTCTGAGAACCCTCCCATCTTTTTCTGTTCCAAATTTAGCAGGTGGATGCACTGTATTTAACTTAAAATCGTTGTAGGGTACTTTATAAAACATGAGCAAACTGGGCTGTGAATTGAATTATGAATCAGACATATTAAAAGTATGAAGGGAGAAAATGATAGTATCATTGATGGACCAAAGTAACAAGCAAAGTAACAAGTTATGAATAAACTGCTCACTGTTCTCATGTATTTTTAGTAGAGGTCTGAGAATAATCCAACTAATCCTCAATGTACAATTAAAGTCTCAACTATTAAAAAATGTATTGTAAATAACTAGTTGGAGATACTTTAAGTAAACATACATCACACAGAGGAAGTTTAATTGCTAAACAAATGAAAAAACAGTTCAGATGTTTTAGCTTTCTCAATTGTTTCTAGCCAAACAGTTATAACAAGAAGAAAAAAGGTAAGAACAATTAACAGGCAAAGCATCAAGAGGGAATTTTCTTTAGGTGATGATATTCTGCATAATTTGCCTTTTAAGAAAATTTTAATCTAAGTCAATAAGACATTTAAATATTACCAGTAGTTTTTTAGAATTATGGATTCTTTTCCTCCTAGCTTTCTTTTTGGTGTGATTTTATTATACATGGATATTGTTTATAGGTATGGATAAGCATAGATACACATAGACATAAAGATGGCTAAGATACTATTCTAATCTGCTTAAACAGGTATATGTTTCTTACAACTGATTGAAAGCTGACTCACATGAAGATACAAGATTCTCAGGCAGTATGTCCTTCCTCGTTGGCAGCACTTTCTGCTGAACCTGCCAGTGAAATGAAGCCTATGACTTTCTGGGGAGGCTAGTCCTCAATTTTTCCTGCAAAGGTTTGGTCCAGGTGGAGTTTTTCCAAAGTGTGCAAACTGCACTTCAATTAAAGAAGTCTGCAGGGCACATAGAGCAGATGAACAGCAAGTGTGCTGAGACTTCTCTTGACAAGACTTTGGCAGGTGGGAAGCCCAAGTGAAAAGCAAGCATTTGGAAACGCTATATGGAAGCAAATATTTAACACGCCAGAGGACTGGGAAATAATGTTGGTTTCTCATCATGTTTCCCATTTTCTTGGAATTTCTAGAAGGAATTCCTTATGATTACAGATAATCAAAAGAATCCAACATATTCAAATCTGAGGAATTGCGACAATCCAAACATTGTGCTTTTGAACAGCTGCTAAAAGGAAAGGCAGCAGTTATTAATTCACTAGCACCTTTTTTTTTTTCCTAAACTGAAATACTGACTGCATTCATTTTGGCTAAAGTCATTCTTGGAAGCTTAAAAAATTCCCAGTAAGAGTCTTTCATTTTTGTAAGTGCAGATGATTTTCTGTTGGCTTTTGCTTAACTTCAGCTGACTTTCATGTAAATGTACTGCAGACGGGGTTAAAATGGCCAGATGGTTGCTGCAAAATGCTTTTCTGACTTGAACTTCTCCTCTTCCTCACCTCTTTCATATGCTTCAATCCTGAGCACTATGGACTTGGGAGAGAAGTATAAATTAATTTGATGGATGTTCTGGCTGCTTTATCAGCTTAAAAACAAGGTAATTGAAAGGTTTCATCCAGTTAGTTGAGACCTTCATGTCTCTGAATTTCACATTCCCAAAGGAGCCTATCTGGTATCATTCTAATTAGAATTACAAGTATAAGTAGATATAATATGATTATTGACTAGGGACAGCTCAATATCTATTCTTTCTCTACTGTACTCAATGTCTAAAACTCTCAGCACTGCTTCCATTTACCAAAGACCATGTAGAAAGCCTGAGGAGGTACCTACAGAATCTCTGAAAAAGACTAATATTGGAGTACAAAGGGTCAGGATGATCCTACTGTACATCCTGATTTGTTCTGAAACTTTCTGGGGCCCTAGGATAGTTCAGAAGATTGAATAAGTTAATGGTTAATTGGGTAAGTTAATGAAGAATGATCTGGCCTCCAAGCCTTGATTCTCCCAATAATGGACATTGCAAAGTTCTTTAGTTTTCCTCAGTATCAATTTCTTCATATGTAAGATGGAGATGCTATGTGGTTGGTTGTGGTAAATTATGTGAAGAATACTATGGGCTACATAAATTCAAAAAGTTATTATTTTGAATCTAATAATGAGTATAACAGTTACCTAAGAATCAAGTTGGATACAATAAATATGGTAAATTAATGAATATGTAAAACTCACCGAGAATGTTGGCTCTGCTAATTTAACGTCAAAACTGATTAATGCTTATTAAGGCTCTTTAGCTAAGCAAATTAGATATGAATTTATTTTCCTGGCATCTGAGTCATATTTTGATTTGTCTAATGCCAATGACTTCAAAAGAGTTCTTTGCTTAAATCATCTTTAAGTAAGCTCAAAAACAAATGTTAAATGATCCTTGGAATATAAAACAATTCAGAGTGCCAAATTGTGTAGTGATGGTCTTTTAAAATACTCTGTTGTATAAGGAAGAGGTAAAGATAGAGGTGGTATTAGTATTATTAGAAACTATTAAAGGTAGGCAGATAGATTATGTTGAAAAATCATGCTTGCCACTTACAGGCATGCATACAACCTCCCAGGAGCAGTATTAATTTTCTTGGATGACCTCTGTGATGAAATGCCACACCTGCTATGGGTGTGCTCAAACAACAATAGAATCCTAGAACCCAAGAGATTGGAGAGATCTTAGAAGATACAACTGTCTCATATGCTTTTACCAGCTGTTCCTCATTGTAGGATATTTTCCCAACAGATCTTCATAAGGCTGGCTGGCTTTCTGGCCACTCAGGACTCAGTTTCAACATCATGTCATGATAGAGGTTGATGGACCACTTGGTTTAATATTAATTCCTGGGGAGCCTCTCTCCATTCCATCGCTTCATTTCATTCCTTCCTGTCATTTCTTGCAATTTGTCATATGCTTTTTTAGTTTATTTGTTGCTTCTCCCTATCACCTCCCTCATCTCTAGAATGTTAGCATTTTCGAAGAAAGGACTTTGCCCATCTGAGTTCTGCTGTGGCGCAAGCATTTGGGACACACGTAGTAGGAAATAAACACAAGTTTTTAAAGTTTAATCAGTAAAACCCTCATTTTGCCTATGAAGAATCAGAGGATAAAGCCAACTAGGGACTTTGCCCATTGTTAGACAGATAGTCACTGACAGAGCCAAGAATAGAGTCAATTCTCCTGTCACATAGCTTAATGTTCTGTTTAGTGCACTCATTCACTGCTCTCAGGGTGACTTATACATGCTTGACCCTGTACAAAGGGGAATAAAACATTAGGTCTGTTTATAAGCTCTCTCCATTTTCTTGTGAGCAGTGCACTTTCTCCAGCAGATGTTTTCTCCAGAACAGTAGCACCACTCACCATGGTAATCTGATCTAGGTCTTATTCAGATTCCATTAGGGCCCTTCTAGTCCTGTAGTTTTATCACTAGAAGCAACAGACTTGTCTTCTGTATTACTGTGTAAGAAGGTAAACAAACATAGGCTATTATGCGTTCATTTATGCATAGACTTATGAGCTAATTACACATTTATTGAAGACTTACAGGCATTGTTTTAGATACATTGTTCGGGTATATAAAGAGAAAACTGAGACTGGCTTCACTAGGGTTGCAGCAGCATTGTTACACTGCCATGTGTTAAATGCTACGTGGGAAGGGGTACAAGGGTGTTTATCAGGTGTCACAGGATCAGAGAAAGTTGCCGGAAGTGCTGGATGAGAAAACAAGTTATCATAACGAAGGGTAGAATATGAGCATATGTTTAAAGATGGGCCATTGTATCCCAAAACGTGAATGAGACAAGGACTCTTGTTCATTCTTGGTGGGAAAGCAAATGTTACAGCCACTTTGGGCAGTTTGATGGTTTCTTACACAATTAAACATATTCTTACTATATGATCCAGCTATACTGCTCCTTGGTATTTTCCCAAATGAGTTGAAAACTTGGGTCCACACAAAAACCTGCATATAAACATTTATAGCAACTCTTTCCATAAATTGCCAAAACTTGGAAACAACCAAGATGTTATTTAATAGGTGAAGGGATAAATAAACTGCAGTCCATGCAGGCAGTGGAATATTATTCAGCAATATGAAATAAGCTATCAAGTCATAAAAATAAATAAAGCTCAAATGCATATTTCTAAGTAGAAGAAGCTAGTCTGGAAGTGTTGCATACTATGTGTTTCCAGTCATATAATATCCTGGAATTTAAAACTATGGAGACAGTATAAAGATCAGTGATGGCTAGGGTTCAGGAGGAGGGAAGGGAAGCATGAATAGGTGGAACAGAGGGCATTTTTAGGGCAGTGAAATGATTTTGTGTGCTACTGTTATGGTTGATTCGTGCCATTATATACCTGTCAAAACACATAGAACTCTGCGACACCAAGAAGGAACCATAATGTAAAATATGGGAGTCAGTTAATAATACTATATCAATATTGGTCCATCAATTTTAACAAATGTACCACACTAGTGCAAGCTGTTAATAATAGGGGAACCTGGGGTTGGAGGGTAGTGACGAGTTATGTGGGAACTATTTGTATTTTGCCCTCAATTTTTCTGTTAACCTGAAACTGTTCAAAAATGGCCTATTAAAAATGAATGAGACCTAGTGAACATTTCTGACAGTTAAATCTATGCAGTTTCTCAGAAGAATTATTTGTTGATTCATTTAGAAGACATAGACTAAGCTTACTTGGTGTTGATCTCTGTGTGAGGCACTGAGATCCAGAAATAAAATAGGATATTTGCTATTAAAGAGTTTATAATCTCATAAAAAGAAGTAGCTATGCAAACAAGGTCAATAAAGTATGGTAGGCATTTGGGTAGAAATGCATATATGGTACAGTGAGCAGTTGTACCTGTTTGGAGTTGAGGTTCAGGAAAGTATTCCCAGAGTTGCTGAACCTGGAGCCAGGTCTTTATAGCTAAATAAGAAAATAAATGTGAGTTGACTAATAGATGATTCTAGGGGGTAGAGATAATTAAAGTTATGTACCTTGGATTCTGTACTCGATATGGAATAAAATCAATCTATAGAGCTTTAGACTATATCAAAAGAAATAGCTCTTGAAATCTGGTTGAAGTTTTGGGTTGAATTCTTTCCGTGTTTCACATTTGCAGCCTGAGATAGCTAAAAAAAAATTATGGCTGTAATCACCACTATATGCTTTCCTCTATACTTTCAATGTGATACTTCAGATATCTATCCTATGATAAGACCAAAAAGAGCCATGGGAGAGGTATACTTAGAGGAGTGCCAGTAAACTGTGTTGGAGCTTAAGAGGTCAAGCATTTACGAGGTTAGTTTACTTAATGGGCCATAAACATGAAGACAGGGAAGATAGGAAGCTAATGAGCCAGGGACCCAAATTCTAGGCAAATAAGGAAGCGTAGCCAGGAGGTCAGTAAACGGCAAAGGCAAATGTAAAGAGCAGAAAGAGGTGCATAACTACTGTCAGCACCTTAAGTTTATTACTAGCATTATTATGATCATAATTGTTATTGTCTGTTTTTTATACAAATGTCAAGAACTTATGGTTTTAAAGCATCAGTAAAAAGCATGGAAAATTTCATTGCAATCCAGTATATTCGAGAATGGGCAGCTTCAACTAAGAGGAATGAGCATGAGGGAAAAGAAGGTCTTTTTTGGGGAAGGGTCAGGTTTCAATTAAAGCCAGAAGATAGAAGGAGCTACCTGGATACATTTGTTTACAGTAGGTTTCATTCTGGCTTGAATGTTGTCAGTTAAAACGGTGAGTAAAAAAGCCCTGCAAACAGATGCTAGATAGTGAGAAGACCACAGCCTGCAGGGCCTAGTATTTTGTCCAATAACTGGGAAAGATAGAGATGAGAGGTACAGGAACCGGTAGTGTTTGATTTCTGGTATTTCTGTAAGAAATCAGTCCATCAAGCAAGTGGTTCTAATTCTCAAAAGAGTATTAGCAGCCTGAAATATAGAGACTCAAAGGTATATAAGGTGCACTAAAGCAATCACCCTTGATGATTGTTCTCTCCAGATAGAAAAGGTTTTCCTTTATTGTGGTTGGAGATCTGGGCTGATTTTTGTGTGTTCCAATTTAGAAATTTGAGGTAGTTAGGAATCCCGTAGCTCTGTTAAGGGAAATTGTTACCAATTTTTACTCACAAATGAACTACTCTACTATAGCCAGCCTTGAGGGGTACAAACTGATACTGGTGAAACCCCAGGCCCTGGGTATTGAGTAAGGCATTGACAGTTTGAGTACTGACATGTGATTGGGAGATAAGTAGGAACTGGTGGGAGGAAAACAGCCAGAAATTGGCATTCATAGGATATAAAGAAAGGGGAAACAGTGAGGATTAAAACAGACACAGGAGTTAAGGCTAACTTCAGAGGGGCAAGCAGTGGGAGAGTCTTCTTGGATGTTTTTACAGAACTAGTTTCTGAAAGAAACCTATTTAGGCTTAAAGAAACAGAAGCTTACTTAATGAAACAGTTATTATTTTTACATTTTCATGACAATTAAAATTTATTTATATAAATTTCACTGGGCTGAAAAAGTGTCATTATGTAAACACACACAACGATGTATTTCTTATACTTAATCACTCGGGGGATGTCAGCAATTTTCTTTTGGAAGCAGTATGTTTCCAGAAGTAGTTTTTCTTTATTGTAAAGGATATTCTGTTTGAGATAGTATGGATTTTAAAGAAACAACTTGTCCTAGAAAGAGAAAATTATGAAGAATTATAAAACATATGCTTAAGAAAAATTAGGTTAAAAATGGCAGCTGAACTATTGGAAGATGCTGGTCATGTAATGTGAGCAAAAGCATAGCAATAGAGGGGTGGGATTGCTTCAGATAAAGAGCCAGGGAGGCTCAAGGGACATGTCTCTATGGCTTCTGACCACTCTGAACCCAGTACTGTTTTCCATTAGGACTTACCAAAAAGCCCAAAGGAGCCAAGAATTCCAGGTTTCTAAAGATAACATATATTCGCCTCCATGGCTTACTTATTGGGCTTGGCTACTTAACTTCTTATTTCACCTATTGGGGATTTAGTTTCCTCAGTTATAGCCTGCTCTAAAAGGTGTTTGTGAGAAATACATCAAATAATGCTTGGTGAAGTATCTGGAATGTAGAGTAAAGCTTCAATAAATAAGTTATTTTTAAAAAGCTAGGCTTTGTAAATGAAAATGACCAATGGTAAATTTTACTGGAGTCCTTATCTGTAAAGGAGAGCTGTTAATAGTGTCACTTTATATGTTGTTATTATCTTAACAAAATATCTATTAAACATTCAACAGTCTTGGGCTACAGAAAGCAATCCGTGGATGTTATGTCTTATTCTTAATAGAACCTGTCTTCTCCAACTTGCTTCTTACTACTTTCTGGGGTTGTTGACGTCAAAGCAGAGGTTGAAAAGTGGTAACCCACATACTGGATCTAGCCCTTGTTGTGTTTTGTTTTGCCTAACACTATATAAGTAATGAATCTGAAAACATATGGGTGTAGCACATACTTCCTAGGTTGTCACAGTCCCCACACTGTCTTTTGTTTTGTACCTGGCACAGGGGACATAGGCTATCTGTTTGATAATTAAGACAACCTATTCTAAAATACTTGTCTATCATGTTTTCCTTTGCTCTTTCATTTCTCTCATTCCCATTTTTAAAATTCACTACTTATTTTCAAGCTCTGTTTAATATATGAAGAATAAAAATAGTTTATGCATCTGCAGAAACTCTAACAATACATTTCATTGGTTTACAATAGGAAAATGAATATTGGGTCAATATGCCATCACAAAAGTTTCTCTGAAGACAATTCAGTTAATTACCTTTAGTTGTTTTTTTTTCAATGTAACACAAATAAAAATGAATAGTATAGACTTTCATTTCCTCATTTTTCCTTGTGTCATAAGATATTTTATTCTTGAATTGTGTATTGTTGTTCACAAAAGGTATTTTAAATTTTATTTGTATAGAGTAGCAAAAATATGCTTAATAGAAGAACTCAGAATAATATTAACATATAAAATGAATGCAAAATAATAGAAGCATTCTCAAGTCAAAACAGAGACTTTATGAAGATGCATTAGTTTTTAATTCACAGGAGGTCACACTTAGTGGTCCAGTATTTACACTAATTGTATCAGTAGACTATGGTAATCAAGAACACCACTTGGTGGCAGAATTAATTTTTTTAGTGCAAAAAAATGCCCATCATCCAAACACAAAGAGAGGAAGTCAAATTATCTCTTCGCAGTTGATATGATTCTATACCTAAAAAGCATCATAGTTTCTGCCCGAAGACTCCTAGTACTGATAAGCAATCTCAGTAAAGTTTCAGGATACAAAATCAATGTACGAAAATCAGTAACATTTATATGCACCAATAATGTCCAAGTTCAGAGCCAAATCAAAAACGCAAGCCTATTCACAATACACACACACACACACACAAACACACACACACACTACCTAGGAAAACAGCTAACCAGGGAGGTGAAAGACTTCTACAATGAGAATTACAAAACACTGCTCAAAGAAGCTAGAGATGACACAAACAAATGAAAAACATTCCATGCTCATGAATTGAAAAAGTCAATGTTGTTAAATATTGCAATAGGAAAATGAATATTGGGTCATTTTTTAAAATGGCTATACTACTGAAAACAATTTACAGATTCAATACTATTTCTATCAAATGACCAATGTCTTTTTTCACAGAATTAGAAAAAACTATTCTAAAACTCATATAAAAGCAAAAAAGGGCCTCAATAGACAAAAGCTAAGTAAAAAGTACGAATTCTGAGTCATCACACCACTCGACTTCAAACTATACTACAGGGCTACAGTAACCAAAACATCATGGTACTGTTACAAAAACAGACACGTAGACCAATGGGACAAGTTAGAGAACCCAGAAATAAACATCTATTACACATCTATTACCATCTGATCTTTGACAAAGTTGACAATAACAAGCAGTGGAAATAGGACTTCCTATTCAGTAAATGGTGCTGGGATAACTAGCCATTTGCAGAAGATTAAAACTGTATCTCTTCCCTTAACCATATAAAAAATAAACTCAAGATGGATTAGAAGCTTAAATGTAAAATGATAAAAGCCCTAAAA
Organism: Homo sapiens; assembly: GCF_000001405.40. Lineage (NCBI taxonomy): Eukaryota > Metazoa > Chordata > Mammalia > Primates > Hominidae > Homo > Homo sapiens. Next base: position 194,996,146 of record NC_000002.12, on the reverse strand, counting down.
GAGAATCTAGGAAACAGCATTCTGAATACAGACCGTGGCAAAGATTTCATGATGGAGACTCCGAAAGCAATTGCAACAAAAACAAAAATTGATAAGTGTGTCCTGATTATAGTAAAGAGCTTCTACATAGCAAAAGAAACTATCAACAGAGTAAACAGACAACCTACAAAATGGGAGAAAATATTTGCAAACTATGCATTGGACAAAAGTCTAATATCTAGAATCTATAAAGAACTTAAATCAAAAAGCAAAGAAAAAACAACCCTATTAAAGATGGGCAAAGGGCATTGTATTAGTCAGTTACCATGCTGCTAATAAAGACATACCTGAGACTGGGTAATTTGTAAAGGAAAGAGGTTTAATTGACTCACAGTTCAGCCTTGGTGGGGAGGCCTCAGGAAACGTACAATCATGGCAGAAGGGGAAGCAAACACCTCCTTCTTCACAGCAGGGGAGAGAAATGCAAAGCTAAGGGGCTGGTGGAGCCCCTTATAAAGCCATCAAATCTCATAAGAACTCACCCACTATCACAAGAACGGCATGAAGGTAACCACCCCCATGATTCAATTACCTCCCACCTCCCATGACATGTAGGGATTATGGGAACTACTGTTCAAGATGAGATTTGAATGGGGACACAAAGCCTAACCATATCAGAAATATACAGACACTTCTCAAAAGATGACATACACACAGTCATCAAGCATACAAAAAAATGCTCAACATCACTAATTATTAGGGAAATACAAATCAAGACTACAGTGAGATACCATCTTACACTAGTCAGAATGGCTATTATTAAAAAGTCAAAAAACAACACAACAAATGTTGGCAAAATTGTGGAGAAAAGGGAACATTTATACAATACTGGTGAGAACGTAGATTAGTTCAGCCACTCTGGAAAGCAGTTAGGAGATTTCTCAAAGATCTTAAAACTACTATTAGAGCCAGCAATCCTATTACTGGGTATATTCCCAAAGGAATATAAAGTATTGTACCATAAAGACACATCCATGTGTATATTCATTCAGCACTATTCACGGTAACAATGACATGCAGTCAACCTAAGTGCCCATCAACCGTGGACTGGATAAAGAAAATGTGGTATATATACACGATGCAGCCATAAAAAGAATGCAATCATGTCCATTGCGGCAACATGGATGCAGTTGGAGTCCATTATCCTAAGTGAATTAACACAGGAACAGAAAAGAAATACTGCATGTTCTCACTGGTAAGTGGGAGCTGTACACTGAGTACACATGGACACAAAGAAGGGAACAGTAGACACTGGGGCTTACTTGAGGGTGGCGGGTGGGAGAAAGCTGTGGATTGAAAAGCTACCTATTGGGTACTATACTCACTACCTGGGTGACAACATAATTTATAGGGCAAACCCCAGTGACATGCAATTTACTCAGCTAACAGATCTGCACAAGTGCCCCCTGAACCTAAAATAAAAGTTGGAAGAAAAAAAACAACAATCAATCAAACCAACCAACCATAGAAAACCATTCAGCCACTTCAGATATTTATGAGAACGAATACATATTTGTTGTTTTGGGTATTTTGTTGTGTGGCAAAGACTAACACATACAGATTAGTTTTGTTTCTCCCTAGCACAAAGACCTGCCCAAATACCCTCAGTAAGTAACTACAGAATAAACAAGTGAACAAAAACATTTCAAGTGTGGGAAAAAAAAAGAATGCCCATGAGATTTGTCGTCTGAAACAAAGTATTTCGCAGAATATATTTAATATGTAAATGTAGTGGGGTAAGTTTAATGGAAGGAAATTTTTACCAAATAAAAGATATTAGTTGAAATAATTTATTTTGTACTTCATATTATGTTCATTTTTTTGGTGGAGGTAGTTACTATGAATATTTTTGCTTGATAATAGAGATGTATGGTTGTTTGGGGGAATCCAGGAATATAAAAAGTAGTACAGGCTACATGCCTGCATCTAAAGTGTTTGTGGGACCTCAAAATACAAGTAGATATGTTTTCACTTTAGTACTACTCATTCAGCCACTCTCTGGCCAGCTGATCTGCCATATGTTAGTAGATGGATACTAATAGTTCCTCATTTTTTTCCTACTTATTCCATATGGTTTTAGTTTGTTTATATGTTACAACTTTTTAGTTTTTCAAGTGTTTTTGGACACCTATGCGTCTAAGTTTTTACAATTTTGTGATGAAAATATTACCTGGTCAAATACATTTGGGATAATGTACATTATCTAAGAGATCTAAGAGATTCACAAAGCCCATGAAATTATTTAAGAGGCTGATGATTTCTGTATTGAAAAACCTGTTTGATTTTCTTTAACTCAATTTATTACATTAAAAAAAGACAGACTTATTGTTGAATATTAACTTTTTAACTTTTTAAAGAGAACTAGGTCAATGGATGCTGCTATAAGCAGCATTATATCATTTTATTATTTTACTGTCTTCTTTTTCTTGTAACTTTGGCCTAGCATAATAATATTAGCTTTGTCTCCAACCTCTCCTTTCTATGGATTTTACAGTCTTAGTACCTACTGCTAACTGATTTCATTCTCTTCTTGCTTGCTTACTTACAGTTAGATTTTCTTAGTACAAATTCCCAGGAAAATTGTTTCAGGTTCCAGCAATGACAGAGGAGTGTGTGGTAGACCAGTGCTCTCACTGAGAAAGACTTGGAACAACTAAGTCTTGAGGGGATAAAATCTGGATAAAGTAGATTCTGAGCAGAGAGATGAGAGGATATTCTGCAACCCTCCTTTTCCACCCTCAGGGCATTTTTGATTCTCAGAATGGAGTAAGAGTTGACATCACTCAGATACAAAGAAACTGGTAGAAATTTTAATAATTTCATGGGACCGGAGAGAAAAAAAAAAGTGATTCAGGAGGCAGAATTTCCTGTAAAAAAAAAAAAAAAAAAAAAAAAGCCAAGGACTGGACTCAACATTCTTCTGAAAGAGTAAAAAGCTAGCAGTCTCATAGTGGCAAGAACCCAGGAATGCTAGTATTCATGAGAGAAGCTCTGCAGACCCCGCTTCTCACCCTTTCAATTAAAAACCCCTGAAAGGAGATACCCTGGGAACTGCAACAAAGCAGAGGTTGGTGGACCATACCCAAACTGCAGTGCCATCTCAGGTCAGTTCAGTCCCTAGCTGGAAGAAGGTGATCAGTGTTTCTTCTATCTGCCTGCAGAAGAAAAGGATGAACCTTCTCTGGAAGTAGATAACAGTCTCAGAACCTCTACATTTTTTATACACAACATCCAAAGAGAAACAAAGAAACAGAAAGTGGAAACAAACACAGATGATCTACATACTGAAATCACGCTAGGGCTTTAAAATGGAAGTAATTAATATATTCAAGACAATAAGAAAAATATTAGAAATGAAAGCCAGAATGGATGAAAAGATGCCAAATGTAATGAGTGAATTAAAATCCCTTAAAATATTTTTTGAAAAAGAAAATCTAATTGTCTTATGTTCTCATGCCGTGCCCATGGAACAAATGTTGGCAAGCCAATGGTGTCAGAAGCTCATACACTCCAATTTCCCTGGACTGGAAAAGGAAACTCATATCATGTAATAAATAAGTCTGTTGCTTTAACAAAAGCTTTGGGCTGTGGGTAGTAGTGCAACATGATATTTCTACTGCATATTTCATGAAGCATTAAAATATTACATGTCACACATAAGAATATGATGCACAGATAAGGATATTCATTCTAGTACTATTTAAACATTTATTCATAAGGATTATTTATAACATGTTTATGTATTAGCCATTAAAAGTAAAACCAGTACAAAAATAAAACATTATCAGCCCCAAATCTTTCATATTTTAAAAACAGCCACTTATAATAAAGCTTGAAACTGGTCACAGTGATGGTCATATTTATAACACGGAAATTGGCAAACGAAAATGGAGGCTTCCCTCCCCCACCTGCCCAGAGAGCTGGTTCTAAAACATTTACCATCCAAGACCAAAGACCTAGATCCTTCGGTGATAGCTTACAGGTTTTATATATGGTTTCCACTCATACCTAATCTAAATAGTAATCTGGCACTTTCAATAGATTTGAGGTGAAAATACTCACATTAAAAATGCAAATCTAAATAATTTGTTAGGCTAATTGAAGCATACCCACCATGGGTTGACATTGTGATACAGACTTTGAGTACATTTTTTATATTTGGTCTTTCAGATATTTCTGATCTTCTGGGAAGTTTACTGTAACTCTTCTTGTAAATGTTTACTCTTGATTTTGGCTATTCTTTATATACCCTAATTTTACTGATTTAAAGTGTCCTTTATTTCAATTTCTTTAATATTCTTTTAATGTCTAATGAGAACTACTGCTAAAAGTCAATATTGTTAATGGGAAAATCTAACAGAATGTAACTGGAGGGTTTCATTAAGTTAACATTTTGGACTTCTAATGGCATCCTTATTAACTAACACTTCCCTCAAATTAAAAACAAATCCCCAAACATACTCCTTTTACAATTTTATTAACTCCAAATTAAGTTTTCATACACGTGTTTATCCTACATATGTGGCATTCATGTTAGGCTCTCTGCTACCTTGTTCTATTTTCAGGTTATACTAAAACATTTTTCTTCCAGAAAAGATCAGAAAGATCAGAAATCTCAAGGAGGTGTATGAAATAAAGCCAGGTTGAGGTTACCAGCAATGTGTCTCATAGTGATAGAAATGTTTCCTGGTGATTCATAATACCCAGAGGAAGTTGATAGAATGTAACTCTGGAATTATTTTTGCACTCTTAGTTTCTACTAAATTTTCTTCCTGATTCAATAATATTCTCTCTGCACATTAATTTAAAAAGTATATTTACACATAACTATCTATATATGTATATATCTCTATAGATATAAGGATATACATATTATAAAAAAGAGGAATATTTCCTCTTGAATTTTAGTACATAATGCTGCTGTACATCACCTTCTATTTTTTATATTTTAGCCATATAGTTCTTGTTTCATTTGCTTGAGCCAACAGTAATATTTTTCAGGTTTTAAACCTTAAACTATATTTTTTTCTTTATTGTAATTGATGCATAATCTCAATTTTTAATATTGTTTCATAGGGCACATCATTAATAAAGTACATGATCATTTTTTGGACTTAAATACATTTCTCATCATATATATCATGGTTTCTCCATGTGGTGTGTGTTCTCATCAAATTGAAGTGGATTACATTAAACGTATTCTATAGGGGATGGGTAAATAGAAGGATATGAAAGGTCTCTGATAGACTAGATGCACATAGCATTCTGACGCAGAAGAATTTACTAGTGGTCTTCTGAAATATAGCTACAGCTTATCTCTTCAACTTAATTTTCTGATATTCTCCCATAAGACCTCTCTGTTCTATTTTGTCCAGGCCCAGGTTCATACTTTGTCTGAGAGCACTGGTAGTCTATAAGAATATCATGACAATTCATCGCTTTGGCATAAATATTCTCTTATAGTCTATTTCAAAAACTGACTTCGTTTGCTTCTATTTCTTGATTTATATCTGGAGTCTCTATGAATAACCTTAATGTCTGCATAAATTATCTATAGGCTGTTTGGAGATTATTTCTATGTCACTTTCTCCTTCTTTGTTTACTGATCAATACTATTTGCTGACATCCACAGAGAAAATGAAACTTTGGATTGAATACTTATTCTTTAATGCATCAGGTAAACCTTTTTTAATCCACAGATGTGAACTACAGAAGAAACTATCACTATGTTTCTCAGACATAGGAATGGGAGTTTCTTTGTGTTTTTTTGCATTGAGTTACTGCAACCAGATTAAAGCAGCAGAATAATCAGGATCATTGGCAGATTTGTGTTCCAAGTCTTGGTCTAGTAGTTTTAGTTGTCACTCATTCCAAGGTTGTTCTTATGGGGGTAAACGCAACTGACAGACAGACACCTGTTACTGAGAACCAGTGACCCATCAAATAATAACCCTTAACTATGTATAGTGGAGGATATCAAGAGAAGGAATATTGCCTGTATCTCACTTCCTTACATAAGCTTGGTTTTTGGGCCCTCCTGGTTGGATATCCTCAACCTGTTCAATTTCTGAAAAGTGTATGCCATTCATTTCACCTCACATTGGTTTTTTTTGCACCACTTTAATCCTTTATTCATTTTTTTCTTAAACTATGTTATATTCATATGAAGCCTACTTTGTTTTCCACTTATCATCAGAAAAATATTTCTTAAAAATAACAGTTCATTATGACATGTCCCTGAACTTCTACAATACCTTTCATCTCTAGTGCTTCTCTGACAATTTTATATCACATTTTATTTTGAGTTTTCTATTTAAGTGGATAGGCTTTATACCTGCGATTAAATTTGAAGCTTCAGTCCTATTCAAGCAGACATTATATGTCTTTGTATTCTCTAGTGGTGAATTGATATTTATTCAATGATTGAGCATAGTGTCTTTGGTCAAATTGCCATGTTCATGGTCTTTATATCTTGGATAGCCCAATAAGTTGGGTTGAATGAATTTAGTCACACTATAGATATTGACTTGTTTTATGCTTTGGCCATATGAAGTGTATCACTTAGATTTAATTACAACTTATATTGTTGATCATTTTGTTAGAAAATACATTTCAAAGGATCTAATATTACTATTCCCTCTGGTTCCATTCAAAAGCTTCAAAATGATTGGCAAATAACATATAAACATCTTCATGTGTTTATTTCCTTGTGGTTTACCCATATCTGCCTTCTTAAAAACAGACCCATTAAGTAGTATTGGTGATCTAAAACTACTTGAAGATACTAATAGTGCAGGGTTAATAGGAATGTCCAATAATTAATTCAGAAGAAGGTACAAGGTGCATCTTTTAAGAGTGCCCTGTTCAACGCCATAACAATCAAAGCTGCCTTTCTAATGAAGTGCTTGAATATAATAATAATTCAAGCTTCTTTCAGACCTAAAGCATTTTCTAGGATTGCCAAAATTGCGTAAAACATACAGAAAAATTAATTGTATCACTCCTTTAGGTGATGAAATGCCACACTTTAGATAAAACTGGATCAATGGCCTTTTTTTTTCTACTGGCCTTTGATCTTTCAGGCAAATGGAGTGTGATAGAATACTGTAAAGTCTTATAAAATAAGACTTGGAGAAAAAGCACAGCTTTCTGTTATCATTTAGATGCATCCTTCTTGTATATCACTTTGGACTGGATAAAGCTTAAAGGTCTTTTCCAAGATCCACTTTCCCTAAGTAGACATGATAAACTTTAATAGAGTGATAAAAATGAGACAGAAGGAATTATCTAGAGCAGTGCTTACTAACTGTCTCCTAAGAGACCTTGAATAATGACATTTAGATTAAATGACTTGCTGAAGTAATATAATCACAGTGAGTCAGGGCTGGTATTTAGTTATTGAACAATGTCTCCATACTTTATACCTCCATATCTACACTTCATATTCTATAAGCTGCACTCCTTTGCATACTTCACTCCTCTGTTTATTGTTTTTTGTTAAGAAACATATTTACCACTGGAAAAAAATAATATCATGCCATATATTTCAGAGGTGCTAATGATTTCTTCTCTTAAAACATTTCTATTGTCGTCACTTTTATAAGTCAAACATCAAGAATTTTCTCTAGTGATAAAAGAAATGCTCTTCTTTTTGTCTCCATAGGTGAAAAAATATGTACAAAGATTTAGACAATTTTGAATTTCTTAGAAATTCTATGGTCAAGTCCCTGCCCTCTATGACTTATTTTATCAATCTAGGAAACATGCATACTGGATTTTTTTCAATATATACAGTTACAATAAGTTTATAATACAGATAAAGCATTTGGAGGCATTGAGAATCATGTTTAATATAATTTGCTTAAAACATATTTGGGTTTATTATGAATAGAGAAAACATAATACCATAAACTGGTTACTATGAGTACAAAAACATAACATTTTTAAATGGTGTCATTTAATTATATTAAATAATGTGAAGATAGCAATATAGCATTTTATATTCTGCCACATTAATGACACTGTCAATGTCTCTGTTTAATTTGTCATTAGCCATTACTTAGATCGGAAAATGAAATATACTTAATGGAATGGATATAAGATAAAGAGGCATTCTCTTAAGCATTTAATTCTTAAATACATTAAAGCATAAAAGGTTTCTTTTTAAATTAATTTACTTTTTCTTTTTTTATTGGTACATAATAATTATACATATTTATGGGGTACATATTGTATTTGGATACATGCATAAAATGTGTAATGATAAAATCAGAGTGTTTAGGATATCTATAACCTCAAACATTATTTCTTTGTGTTTGGAACATTTCAAATATTTTCTTCCAGCTACTTGGAAATATACAATTAATTCTTATTAACTATTGTCACCTAATTGTGCTGTCAAGCACTAGGACTTACTCCTTTTATCTATTTGTATACTTGTACCCATAAACCAACCTCTCTTTATCCCTTCCTGCACCCTTCTCAGCCATTGGTAACTAGCATTCTATGCACTACCTTCATGAGATTAACTTTTTCAGCTCCCACATGAGGGAGAAGAGGTGACATTTGTCTTTCTGTGCCTGACATACTTCACTTACATTGACCTCCAGTTCCATCTATGTTGCTGCAAGTGACAGAATTTCTTTTTTTTTAAATGACTGAATAGTATCCCATTGTGTATATATACCACATTTTCATTATCTGTTCATCATTTGACAGACACTTAGGTTGATTTCATATCTTGGCTACTGTGATTAGTGCTGCAATAAGCGTGGGTGCATGTATCTCTTCGATACACTGATGTTCTTTCTTTTGGATCAATACCCAATAGAGGGATTACTAGATTATATGATAGTTCTATTTTTAGATTTTTAAGAAACCTCTATACTGTTTTCTCTAATGGCTGTACTAATTTATATTCCCACTGATATTAAATAAGAAGTCACTTTTCTCTGCATTCTTGCTGGAATTTGTTATTTATTTATTTATTTTCATAGTAGCCGTTCTAACTGGGGTAAGAGGATATCTCATCATGGTTTTGATTTGCATTTCCCTAAAGATTAGTAATGTTGAACATTTCTTTATATACCTATTGAACATTTGTATGTCTTCTTTTGAGAAATGTCTACTCAGATCCTTTGCCCACTTTTTGATGGAATTTTTTTTTGTTGTTGTTGTTGCTTGTTTTTTTCTTTTTTTTTTCTCTTCTCCTTTTTTTGTTTTTACTGTTCAGTGGTTTACGTCCATGTGTATTCTGTATATTAGTCCCTTGTCAGATGAATAGTTTGCAAATATTTTATCTCATTCTGTAGGCTATGAGTTTACTCTTAATTATTTCTTTTGCCTTGCAGATTTTTAGTTTAATTATGTCCCATTTGTCTATCTTTGTCATAAGCTCTTTGTCTAGGTCAATTCCCAGAAGAGTCATTCCTAGGTTTTCTTTTAGGATTTTTATACTTCAGGTCTCATGTTTAAGTCTTTAATCCATCTTGAGTTAATTTTTGTATATGGAGACAGATAGGAGTCCAGTTTCATTCTTCTACATATGGCTAGTCAATTTTCCCAGCACCATTTATCAAATATGGTGTTTTTTCACCATTGTTTATTTTTGTTGACTTTGTCAATGATCAATTGGTTGCAGGCATGTGGCTTTATATTTGGGTTCTCTATTATGTTTCATTGATGATATATCTTTTTTCACCCCTTTACTTTGAGTCTGTAGTGTCTTTAGCCAATAGGTAGATCTCTTGTAGGCAGTAGGTGGTTGGGTCTTGTTTTCTTAAAATCCAGTTTGCCACGTTATATCGTTTTAGTGGCACATTTAGGCCATTTATCTTCAAGGTTATTGATATGTGAGGTTTGGTTCCTGTCATAGTGTTGTGTGTTAACTTGGGGTTGTAATTGTGTAACTGCTTTATAGGATCTGTGGGCCTTGTATTCATGTGCCCTTTTATGATGTTGAGTATCATCATTTTGTTTGCATATTTAGAACTCCTTTGAGTATTCCTTGTGGGATCAGTCTAGTGGTGATGAATTCCTTTAGTGTTTGCTTGTATGAGAAAGACTTTATTTCTCCTTCATTTATGCAAGTTAGTTTGGCAGGATGTAACATTCTTGCCTGGCAGTTTTTTTTAAGACAATTTTTTAAAAAAATAGGCCCCTAACCTTTTCTGACTAATAGGGTTTCTGTTGAGAAGTCCACTGTTAGTCTGATGGGATTCCTTTTGGAGGTGATCTAATGCTTCTCTCTAGCTGCTTTTAAGATTCATTCTTTCGTGTTGACCTTGAGTTTGATGACTATGTGCCTTGGTTGTGTTCATCGTGTATAGTATCTTCCAGGTGTTCTTTGATTTTCTTGTATCTAGATGACTATATCTCTAACAAAATAAGGGAAAATGTCCTGCATTATTCTCTCAAACATGTTTTCCAAAATGTCTTTTCTTTTCTTCTTCTCTCTCAGGAATGCCTGAAAGTTGTAGGTTTGGTTGCTTTACATGATTCCATATTTCTCAAAAGCTTTGTTTATTATAAAAAAACCTTTTTTATTTATTTTTGTCTGAGTAGGTTAATCTGGAAGACTGGTCTTCAAACTCTAAAATTCTTTATTCTGCTTCGTGTAATCTATTGTTAAAGCTTTCAGCTGTATTTTGAAGTTCTTCAAGTGAATTTTTCATTTCCAGAAGTTCTGTTTTGTTTTTTAAGATACCCCTCTTTTCCTTCATCTCCTGGATTGTGTTTGTGCTTTGTTTGTGTTAGTTTCTAATCTTCTCTGGGATCTCATTGAGCTTCCTTGAAATCCATACTTTGAATTCTTTATCTGTCATTTCCAAATTTTCATTTTTGTTAGGGTCCATTGCTATAGAGCTAGTGTGATCCTTTGAAGGTATCGTAACCTTCAGATTTTTCATGGTGCCGTAATTCTTATGCTGGTTTCTATTCATCTGGAGAAGCTGACACTTCCTTTTTTTCAATTTACTTTTGTTTGATTTTTTTTTTCTATTTTTATTTTATCCCTGCACGCCTTGAGGATGTGACTGTAGCGTGTGCTGGGTAGAGTTATTTGGCTTTGTTTCTGTAGCCCTGTGCACTTCTGTTGGCAGGTTATATTGGGTTGTGTAGTTCAACCTCTAGACTAGTAGGCGGCACTTATGGGTAAGATCTGACCAGCAAAAGCAGATGGGTATGTACTTGACCTCTGTTCATTGTGAGGTGCTGCCTGTTGTTTCAGGTGATGGGCTGGACAGTGGAATGCCTGGTGTCCTGAGCTTCCTGTTCAGCAAGCGTTTGGTTAGGGTAGGGTAAGGACACAGCTGGGCAGACCTGGATCACATGGCTTGCCCATGAATACCCCAGTGATGAGTACTGGCACCAGCCCTGACTGGGCAGCTGGGGACATACCTGGTGAAATATGTCAAGGTCTCTCCAGCGGGTGAGAGGGCTACACTACATTCACAGCCCAGATAGGCAGGAACATCATTTATTTCCCTTTCTTGCCCTTGCTCTGGGACTCATGACTCTGGGTTCAGATGCACACTCTTGTCAATCTTCAGACCACAGTGTAGCTGAGAGCCTTGGAATATGCCTGTCCTGTGGCTGTGCAGGCGTGGTTTGGGGGCAGAACCTAATCACTCAGCCCAATACAGACAGTGCTGTAGCTCACCTGTTCTTTCATGTAGTAATGCTGCTGCTTCTGGTAGAGAGGGGGATGGGTTCTTCTTTTCAGCATGTGCTGGTAGGTGTTGGCTGGTTGGGTCAACCCAACCTTAATCCTTGGAAGGAGTAGTGAGGTGCCAGCATTGGTGGACCATGCTAGGTAATCTCTCAATCCCCAGGTCCCTAGATGGCCCACTGGATGGAGTGTATGAGTGTTAAAAGGGCTGGACCTGGACCAGGTCCAGACCAGCTGACTTGTTCTTGGGGCCCCAGAATTCTGATGTTGACTGTGATAGGAAGAAATGGGCTGGTCCCCAGATCACCGACAGAACTCTGAGGCAGGAGTAGGCAGAATGCTCAAGTGGTTGGCGGAACACTCAGGCAGTGGGAGCCTACGGGCAGATCACAGGCCTGTGGATGGGGCTTTCAGAAGAACTCCAGGCCACAGCTGGAATGATCAGGCAGGGGCAGGGTGGCTGTGCTGTGGGTCTTTCATTGGAGAGGGCAGTCCACATTAGCTAGGGCAATGGAGGCTGGCAACTCTGGAGCACATGGCCCACTTGCACTTCTCTCTCACAGAAGCAGTGGTGGGTTTTGTTATTGGGGGTAGCCTGGCCTTCCCGCTCCCCCCACCCAACCTGAGGACAGCAGGGGCAGAGGCAGTTGTGGCTGCAACTACTGTGGGAGATGAAGGGCTTCGTGGCCCTCAGGGGGCCAGCTCTCAGAAGAATGTCTGGCCAGCCATAGTGCTCACATGGGGGTAGGGCTGTAATTGGGGCCTGTCACTGAAGCAGGCAAGCCTCCTTTAATGGGGGGCAGTAGAGGCGAGGAGTCAAGCTGTGCACAGTCTGCCTACTCCTCCATACCATGGCTGTGGTATCTGTCTTTGGGGTGCATGAAAGTGCCTGGCCTCCTGGCTTCCTCCCTGGCCCAGGACAGCAGGGAAGGAAACAGTGGTAGTGGTGGCAGTGGCTGCTGCAGGGGTGGAAGGACTTATTGGTGGCCTCAGAGGTTTGGACTCTCAGGAGAACACTGGGGTGTGGCTGTAGTGCTCATGCAGGGGCTGGGCAGCTGTGCTGGGGACCTGATACCAAGGTGGGCAGGTCCTGTTTAGTGAGGGGCAGTAGAGGTTGACTAATCAGTCCACTCCTCCATACCACAGCTGGAATATCTGTGATTGGGTGTGTGAAAGTGCCTGGTCTCTTCACTCCCTACCTAGTGGGGATGTGGCATCTGTCACTGGGCTGCTCTGGAATCAAATGCCTGTGGAACTGCACGTGGGTTTGAGCAGTCTCTGCACAGTCTCTAAGCAGCTCCGTCTTAATCTGGAGGCCTGGGGGTGATGAGGGGGTTCTCCCGTTATTAAGATTGTAAAGGTCAGTGGCAGGGTGTGAAACCCCAGAATTCTGTCACTCACTGGCCCCTTCCCCAAGTAAGGGATTTTCTCCTGGCTCCCTGCTGGTCCTAGCTCTGCAGGTTACTTTGTGTCTTTGCTCGCCTCTGTTTTCTGTGATTCCTGTCCAGATTTCCCCCTCTATTTCTGTGAATGTAATTGGTATTTTGATAGAGATTGCACTGACTCTGTAGATTACTTTGGATAGCATGGTCATTTTAACATTTAAACTTTGGGTAAATCTTTAGGATGCTGGAATAATATTTTCTGTAAGAAACAGAATAATGTTTTCTATATTCTGGATAATACAAAAAGGAAACAATAGATTAATTCTTCTCATGAATACAGATCCAAAATTCTAATTAGTACGCAAATGAATTTAGCGATTAAACAAGTAAGCCTGTATATTTATATATGATAACTAACATTTATATCAGGAAAGCGAAGATTATTAAATATTAGTAAAGCTATATAATATTATTCAATACTGACAGATAACAGAATTAATCATATAATGCTTTTAATATAGAAAAAGCATTCATATGATATATTAGGAACGATACATCAGTGGGTAAACGATCAATTTTTAGATAAGTGGTAATGGGACGACTGGCTTTCCATATGGGATAGGTAAAATTAGATCCTAATTTTACTCCATGAAGAAAAAGAATAAACTGCAGATGGCTTAAGTATCTAAATGCAAAAACAACTTCACAGTTTTTTAGAAAACATGAACAAATATTTTAATCAATTCTAGATATAGATGAATTTCTACAACACACACAAAGAATAAATCATATGGAAAATGAATTATAAAATTGACACATCAAAATTAAAACTTTGTATAACAAAATATATCACACCCATAGCTTATAAATATAAAACCAGTTGGGGAAGATAATTGCACTATATATGAAATTGGCATGTAGAATACATAAAAATCCTTACAAATTAATAAAAGGAAGATGAACATCCCAATTCAAAATGGATATAGGTTATAAATAGGAAATTCACAGAAGAGAACGGCCAGTTAGCCAATAAACATAGCAAAAAATGCTCAACTTCATATGAAGATAAACACAATAATTTGGAAAGCCAATACCTTCTGTACACTTTTAGGGTCCTCTGTGAGCTCCCCTTTGGTAGTTCCTTCAGCTGTTATGGCTGTGCTTTCTCCCCATGCACACCATGTTGGTGTGGCTTTGGTCTTTCTGTGGAGCCAATGGCATCTTAGATAACGTAGTAATGCCAAAAGTCTCAACTCCTTTTGCACCAACCTAATATTAATATCATGAAGCCATATTCTCATATTTCCCAAAACTCTATGAACCTTCTACCAAATCATGCATTCCATTTCACATGTCTATCTGGTGGTTGGTAGTGGGAAGTAAGGAGTAAAGACATTTATGCATTGCCTCTTTATACTTTCTATAGTCCCTCCTTAAATAGCCCCTCCTCCCAGCAAAATAAAGGCTTTGTCTTACTTTATTCCTCCATACCACCCCCATCCCATGGAGGAGGAAAAGTTTGGATTAAACTAAATGATAAATGAAAAAAGGAGGACTAGTAACTAAAAGTAAAAGAATGAATAAGTGGGGCTGGGTGCAGTGGATCACGCTTGTAATTTCAGTACTTTGGGAGACTGAGGCGGGTGGATCACCTAAGGTTAGGAGTTCGAGACCAGCCTGGCCAACAAGGTGAAACCCCATCTCTATTAAAAATACAAAAACTAGCCAGGTGTGTTGGTGCGTGCCTGTAGTCTTAGCTACTCGGGAGGCTGAGGCACGAGAATTGCTTGAACCCAGGAGGCAGAAGTTGCAGTGAGCTGAGATCACACCACTGCATTCCAGCCTGGGCAACAGAATGAGACTCAGTCTCAAAAAAATAAAGAAAGAAAGAAATAATGAATAAGTGGATTATGCAATGAAGGAAATCCAATATTACATTTATGCCTTGAGAAAAGCTCAGAGCAAGAGATGATATTGCCTCTTAGGCTAATTATACTAGATGCTTACAAGAGTGAAGCTGTGTCTTGCTAAGATCAGTCTTGCTGTCGGAATCTGACAAGATTGAGTGGATACCTGCAAACCTGAGTTGTATTGCTCTGGGAGATATTTGCATCATATGATATGATGGTGGCCTAGACTAATTGTTAACAACTTAATTGGATTCTAGTAATGGGTTAGCATGTTTTGATTCTTATTTTTAGGTGACATCTGCTGCTATACTGTGACATACTATTGTAACACTGGCATTGTTGGTATGGTTCTAATACTGATATTGATGGTCAAATGTGTTGATAAGGCACAACTTCTGATATGATTTGGTTTTGGTTCCCCACTGAAATCTCAACTTGAATTATAATGGCCAAATGTCAAGGGTGGGACAAAGTGGAAATAATTAAATCATAGGGGTGATTTTCCCCATGCTGTTTTTGTGAAAGTTAGTGGGCTCTCACACGATCTGATGGTTTTATAAGGGGCTTCCCCCTTCACTTGGCACTCATTCTCTCTCCTGCTGCCCTGTGAAGAGGTACCTTCTGCCATGATTGTAAGTTTCCTGAAGCCTCCCCAGCCATGTGAAACTGTGAGTAAATCAAACCTCTTTTCTTTATAAATTACCCAGTCTCGGGTATTTCTTCATAGCAGTGTGAAAATGAATAATGCAGTAAATTTGTACCAGGTAGTGGGGCACTGCTGTAAACATATCCAAAAAGTGTGGAAGCAACTTTGGAACTGGGTAACAGGCAGAGGTTAGAACAGTTTGGAGGGGTCAGAAGAAGACAGGAAGATGTGGGAAAGTTGGAACTTCCTAGAAACTTATTGAATGACTTTCACCAAAATGTTAATAGTGTTATGGACAATAAAGTTCAGGCTGAGGTGGTCTCAAATGGAGATGAGGAACTTGTTGGGAACTGGAATAAAGGTGACTCTTGCTGTGCTTTAGCAAAGGGACTGGTGGCATTTTTCCCCTGCCCTGGAGATCTCTGGAACTTTGAACTTGAGAGGGATGATTTAGGGTATCTGTTGGAGCAAACTTCTAAGTGGCCAAGTGTTCAAGAGGAAGCAGAGCATAAAAGTATGATAAATTTGCAGCCGGACATGATGAGATAGAAAAGAAAAACCCAAATTCTGGGGAGAAATTCAAGCCAGCTGCAGAAATTTGTGTAAGTAACGAGGAGCCAAATGTTATTCACCAAGACAATGGGGAAAATGTCTCCAGTGTGTGACAGAGACCTTCACAGAAACCCCTCTCATCACAGGCCCAAAGGCCTAGGAGGGGAAAATGGTTTTGTGGGCCAGGCCCAGGGACCCCTGCTCTATGCAGCCTTGGGACATGGTGCCCTGAGTCTCAGCTGCTTCAGCTACAGCCATGGCTAAAAAGGGCCAAGGTACAGCTTGAGACATTGCTTCAGAGGGTGCGAGCACCAAGCCTTGGCAGCTTACACATGATGCTGGGCCTTCAGGTACACGGAAGTCAATAATTGAGGTTTGGGAACCTCCACCTATATTTCAGGGAATGTATGGAAATGCCTGGATGCCCAGGCAGAAGATTGCTGCAGGGGCAGAGCCCTCATGGAGAACCTCTAATAGGGCAGTGCAGAAAAGAAAGGTGGGGCTGGAGCCCCCACACAGAGTCCCTACTGGGGCACCACCTAGTGGAGCTGTGAGAAGAGGGCCACCACCCTCCACACCCCAGAATGGTAGATCCACTGACAGCTTGAACCATGTGCCTGGAAAAGCTACAGACACTCAATACCAGCCCATGAAAGCAGCCAGGAAGGGGATTGAACCCTGTACAGCCACAGGGGTGGAGCTGACCAAGGCTGTGGGAGCCCACCTCTTGCATTAGTATGACCTGGATGTGAGACATGGAGTCAAAGGAGATCATTTTGGAACTTTAAGGTTTAAGGACTGCCTTATTGGATTTTGGACTTGCTTGGGGCCTGTAGCCTCTTTGTTTTGGCCCATTTCGAATGGGTGTATTTACCCAATGCCTGTACCCCCATTGTATCTTCCAAGTAACTAACTTGCTCTTGATTTTACAGGCTCATAAGTGGATGGGACTTGCCTTATCTCAGATGAGATTTTGGACTAGGACTTTTAGGTTAATCCTGAAATGAGCTAAGACACTGGGGTACTGTGGGAAAGGCATGATTGTGTTATGAAATGTGAGAACATGAGATTTGGGAAGGACCAGGGGCAGAATGATATGATTTGGCTCTGTGTCCCCACTGAAATATCACCTTGAATTGTAATAATTCCCATGTCAAGGACAGGGCCAGGTGGAGATAATTGAATCATGGAGGTGGTCTCCCCTATGTTGTTCTCCTGATAGTGAGTGAGTTCTCTCACAAGATCTGATGGTTTTATAAAGGGCTTCCCCCTTCACTCGACACTCATTTTCTCTCCTGCCACCCTGTGAAGAGGTGCCTTCTGCCATGATTGTAAGTTTTCTGAGACCTCCCAAGCCATGTGGAACTAGGAGTCAACTGAAACTTTTTTCTTTATAAATTACGCAGTCTTGGGAATTTCTTCATAGCAGCTTGAGAATGGACTAATACAACCTATTTCAGATGTAATACTGATAGAAAATGACTGGCATAAAAAAGGCATGGATTTATCTAAGTATCAGCTAATTTCTATGCTAAATAGTTCTGCAGAAGTTTCTCATAAGGTACAAATAGTGATACATCAAGGGAATGACTTTATAAGATGAGTCAGTTGTTTGTTAACTCTTTTCCTACCCTACACTGGGTCCTCCAAATATTAAGCATATTTGCAATGATTTGCTGTTTCTGTCATATAAATGCCATACTAAATGTGGATGCCCAGAGAAACATAGTTACATAGTTGTCTCTTCCTTCCTTCCTTCTTTCCTTCCTTCCTTCCCTCTCTTTCTCTTTCTTTCTCTCTCTCTCTCTTTCTCTGTCTCTCTCTTTCTCTCTCTCTTTCTTTCTTTCTTCCTTTCTTCTTTCTTTCTTTCTTTCTTTCCTTCCTTCCTTCCTTCCTTCTTTCTTTTCTTTCTCTCTTTCTTTCTTTTCTTTTCCTTCCTTCCTTCCTTCCTTCCTTCCTTCCTTCCTTCCTTCCTTTCTTTCTTTCTTTCTTTCTTTCTTTCTTTCTTTCTTTCTTTCTTTCTTTCTTTCTTTCTTTCTTTCTCTTTCTTTCTTTCTTTTCTTTCTTTCAAGTTTCACTCTTGTTGCCCAGGCTGGAGTGCAATGGCATGATCTTGGCTCACCGCCACCTCTGCCTCTAGGGTTCAAGCAATTCTCCTCCCTCAGCCTCCCGAGTAGCTGGGATTATAGGCATGCACCACCATGCCTGGCTAATTTTTGTATTTTTAGTAGACATGGGGTTTCTCCATGTTGGTCAGGCTGGTCTTGAACTCCTGACCTCAGATGATCCACCCGCCTTGGCCTCCCAAAGTGCTGGGATTACAGGTGTGAGCCACTGCACCTGGCCACATAGTTGTCTTTCTATACGAGAGCCTTGGACAAAAATTGAAGTGTGGCCTGTATAATAAAAAATTTGACCTTGTCCAAAGAGAAGTCTGGTCTTTACCCTGGGCTTCTGGAAAGTAACTTATGCCTTTTTGATAGAAGTGTTTTTGTTTAGGGTGAAGGCTGCCACTCCAGATCCTAGGGGAAGGGGAAGGAGCTTACTCAATAGTCTTAGGATAGGGGCTGGCCATGACAAAAAGACCAATATTATGATTTAGGGTGGGAACTCTGAGTCACCCAGTATCAGCCAACTTGGAGAATGACTCCAATCACATGATCAATCAATCAATCAATCACATATACATAAGGAAGCCCCATTAGAAACTCTACACACTGAACTCAAGGGATCTTCTGGTTGGCACTACTTCATGTGTATTTTCATATACAGATGCCAAAAGAGTAATGCCTCCTAATACTATGAGAAAGGAACACCAGAAGCTCCACGCTTGGAGCCCACTTGTACTTTGCCTTCTGCATTTCTTCCCTTAGTTGTTTTTAAAATTTTAACTTTTATGAATTCATAATAGTTCCTTGGCTGATTTTAATCTATATCACTTTCTGTAATAAACTGTAACCATAAGTATCTTAGCTTTCAGTAAATTCTGTGAGTTCCCCTAGTGAATTATCAAACTGAGGGTAGTTTTCGGCACCTCCCAAAATTGCAGTTAGTGTCAAAAGCAAGGGAAGTCTTACAGGAGACTGTGCCCTTAAACTTTGCAGTTTTACTAACTCTAGGCACCTGCCTTCAGTGATAATAGTAGTTTGTTTATTTTTGTATTTGTATGGGGATAATTTGCACTATCTATTTGTGCATTTCCTTCTTTAATGGTTCTTTTTACTATATTTATGAGACAAGACATTTTTACTTTTTGTGTTTTGTAACTGAAAGAGGTGATGATGTATGGTGGCAGTAAATTATGGAGTGGTAAATCAAGTGTGAAAATGGATTCCAAACATAGGTCTCTTGACTATAATACATACTATTCCCCATATTATTCCTACCCTTGGATAGTAAAATATTGTTTTCACGTACTTGATGTATTTTCCCTTCAAAGTAAGAATAGTGAAATATTGCAAAACATTCTGTTCTCAAGTGTTTAACCTAAAAAAAAAATGCCCTTTACATGATCAGTACAAAATCTTCAATTGATGTCTCAGGCTTTCTTAGCATTTTGTATCTTACCAACTACATTTTTCAGAATTATAGTATGTAGTTGGAACCCAAAGATATTGAGATAAAGGAAAGTTGAATAGGAGAGCTTAACTCTCTGCCATTAGCGATTTTCGACCTCTTTTCCTTTCTAGCCAAAACTCATTATCATCCCTTAATTCAGAGATAGTCTAACATGACTTATTTTAAAGTTCTATTCAGCAAGAAGCATTCTTTGCAAAAGATGAAGTGAAATTTTTCTCAAATGCTATACTCATCTTAATCATGACTATAATAAGATTCTTAAAAATAGAATGAATTAATACAAATATTTACTAGCTTCCTTATTCAATGGATATTATTTAACTATTTCAGAGAGGGACAGTAGATCACATGCCTCTTTTTATTACTTGGATGTTTCTATCCATGTTCAGTGTTTATTTATTTAGCATAAGAGGTATTCATAGTTCCTAAAAGGATTTACACAAAATATGTTAATTTTACTAATTTTATAATGAAAGGTGGATATTCCATGTTCATTGTCATCTATGGTGACCTTTTTCTTCCTGTTTGTGCCATCCCATTATGACCTGGCTATATATGTTTTGCTGTCCAGACAACACACATATTTTATGGTCCAACTTAACATAGTTCAAGAAAGCTATGTAGATTGATGAGACTTTATGAAGAAATATGAGCCTTAAAGTATTCTTAGGTAAACTGATCTTATCATGGTGTGTTTATTCTCCAAAGAAGCTGATTGCAGAGAAAGTGTGAGACCATATCAGACTCATCTGGGGAGCTATTTTATTATTTACGAAACCCATGCATGAATATTCCATATCTTTCCACTTGAAAAACTTTGGCCTAAATAATACTTGTGCAAATGTGTTAGAGAAGCTCCTGAATATCTTCTATATAAGAAGCCTCCAAAATTACTTAATTTGAAACATTTGTTTTGGTACCAGTACCATGCTGTTTTGGTTACCATAGACTTGTAGTATAGTTTGAAGTCAGGTAGCGTGATGCCTCCAGCTTTGTTCTTTTGGCTTAGGATTAACTTGGTGATGCGGGCTCTTTTTTGGTTCCATATGAACTTTAAAGTAGTTTTTTCCAATTCGGTGAAGAAAGTCATTGGTAGCTTGATGGGGATGGCATTGAATCTATAAATTCCCTTGGGCAGTATGGCCATTTTCATGATATTGATTGTTCCTATCCATGAGCATGGAATGTTCTTCCATTTGTTTGTATCCTCTTTTATTGCATTGACCAGTGGTTTGTAGTTCTCCTTGAAGAGGTCCTTCACGTCCCTAGTAAGTTGGATTCCTAGGTATTTTATTCTCTTTGAAGCAATTGTGAATGGGAGTTCACTCATGATTTGACTCTCTGTTTGTCTGTTATTGGTGTATAAGAATGCTTGTGATTTTTGTACATTAATTTTTTATCCTGAGACTTTGCTGAAGTTGCTTATCAGCTTAAGGAGATTTGGGCTGAGACAGTGGGGTTTTCTAGATATACAATCATGTCATCTGCAAACAGGGACAATTTGACTTCCTCTTTTCCTAATTGAATACCCTTTATTTCTTTCTCCTGCCTAATTGCCCTGGCCAGAACTTTCAACACTTTGTTGAATAGGAGTGGTGAGAGAGGGCATCCCTGTCTTGTGCCAGTTTTCAAAGGGAATGCTTCAAACAGAGATATAGATCAATGGAACAGAACAGAGCCCTCAGAAATAATGCCACATATCTACAAATATCTGATCTTTGACAAACCTGAGAAAAACAAGCAATGGGGAAAGGATTCCCTATTTAATAAATGGTGCTGGGAAAACTGGCTAGCCTTATGTAGAAAGCTGAAACTGGATCCCTTCCTTACACCTTATACAAAAGTTAATTCAAGATGGATTAAAGACCTACATGTTAGACCTAAAACCATAAAAACCCTAGAAGAAAAGCTAGGCATTACCATTCAGGACATAGGCATGGGCAAGGACTTCATGTCTAAAACACCAAAAGCAATGGCAACAAAAGCCAAAATTGACAAATGGGATCAAATTAAACTAAAGAGCTTCTGCACAGCAAAAGAAACTACCATCAGAGTGAACAGGCAACCTACAAAATGGGAGAAAATTTTTGCAACCTACTCATCTGACAAAGGGCTAATATCCAGAATCTACAATGAACTCAAACAAATTTACCAGAAAAAAACAAACAACCCCATCAAAAAGTGGGCGAAGGACATGAGCAGACACTTCTCAAAAGAAGACATTTATGCAGCCAAAAAACACATGAAAAAATGCTCACCATCACTGGCCATCAGAGAAATGCAAATCAAAACCACAATGAGATACCATCTCACACCAGTTAGAATGGCAATCATTAAAAAGTCAGGAAACAACAGGTGCTGGAGAGGATTTGGAGAAATAGAAACACTTTTACACTGTTGGTGGGACTGTAAACTAGTTCAACCATTGTGGAAGTCAGTGTGGCGATTCCTCAGGGATCTAGAACTAGAAATACCATTTGACCCAGCCATCCCATTACTGGGTATATACCCAAAGGACTATAAATCATGCTGCTATAAAGACACACACACACGTATGTTTATTGCGGCACTATTCACAATAGCAAAGACTTGGAACCAACCCAAATGTCCAACAATGATAGAATGGATTAAGAAAATGTGGCACATATACTCCATGGAATACTCTGCAGCCATAAAAAATGATGAGATCATGTCCTTTGTAGGGACATGGATGAAATTGGAAATCGTCATTCTCAGTAAACTATCGCAAGAACAAAAAACCAAACACCGCATATTCTCACTCATAGGTGGAAATTGAACAATGAGAACACATGGACACAGGAAGGGGAACATCACACTCTGGGGACTGTTGTGGGGTGGGAGGAGTGAGGAGGGATAGCATTAGGAGGTATACCTAATGCTAAATGACGAGTTAATGGGTGCAGCACACCAGCATGGCACATGTATACATATGTAACTAACCTGCACATTGTGCACATGTACCCTAAAACTTAAAACATAATAATAATAAAATAAAAAATAAAAAAAAGAAGCATTTGCTTTTCTGTTTTAGTTACCATGATAATTCTTAACATCTGTTATTATTATGCTTCGTAACCTGCTTATGGCCTTCTGCAATAGTGTAGAATTGTAGCAATTTAAAGGCATTTCAAAGCTTTCTTATCTTTTATATACACTGTAAAACTGATTAAATGGCAACAAAAGAGTCTGAGAAACAATAGCATTCATTAATTATAGTACCACTCAAGAGGAAGAAAGGAGGGAAGAAACAGGAAACCAGCAACAAATAGACTCAATAGCAAGAAGCCAGAAGATATAGACTATAGCACTAAGAAGCTAGAATGAGGAATTAGATTCCATTGATCACTGGTGACATAAACCACTCTGTGTAATTGATAGATTGTGGGACTTAGTCAGACAGGTAAGCCTTCCAGGCTTCTAGGCTTCTTTTCAATTCTGCACCTGAGGAAGCTGAAAAGCCTTTATTTTAATAGCTCAGTAAATGATAGTTATCTGGTATTTTAGGCTCACAGCAGAGAGTTGCTATGGAGCTAAAAAGGATTATAATGGCACCCAGAGGAGGATGAGACTTACACTCTGGTACCCAAGTAACTGGATATGGGTCTTCCCTGTAGAGATGGGCTTGAGACAGAAGTCTTTAAATAAAGATGTAGATATAATTGGGTCTGACTAGATTAAAATAAAACTGAAGAGAAGTTTTGGGGCTTCTTGGTTAGTGACATATTCTTTTATCTCAAAATATTAGACAATACACTGTGTATTTTGACATGCTTTTATTATATGATTATATATATCTATATCTATATTTATATATATATTCTAAAACTGCAACTTAAACTAATGTTTCAAGGTGCAAAAAATACTGCATATGTCACATACATTTGTGCACACTTTTTAAAAAACAAGGCCACAAAGCAGTCTAATTTAAAAATAATTGCTACCAAATGTAGTCTTCAGACTATTTCCTGTTAGAAATCTTCGACTTTAAAAAATAGGACATTTGTGACAATCAACCATCTTTCATTTATTTAGGCCTATAATTAAGATGGAAACATAATTCATATATATGCAGACATCACAATAAAATGAATATTGCAATAAAGAGATAAATTATGAGAGAGTCAAACTTTTCAGCTTCCCAATCAATATAAGATTTATGTTTACACCATACTCCAGTCTAGTAAGTGTGCAATAGCATTATGTCAAAAAATGTACATGGCTTAATGAAAAATACTTTATTGATGAAAAAATTTCTAACAATTATCTGAGCCTCCAGTGAGTTGTAATCTTTTTGCTGGTGGAGGGTCTTGCCTCGGGTTGGTGGTTGCTGATGGATCGGGGTGATGGTTGCCAAAGATTGGGGTGGCTATGGCAATTTCTTAAAAGAAGAGTAAAGTTTGCCACATAGATTGACTGTTTTTCTCATGAAAGATTTCCCTGTCGCATGCAATGCAGTTTTATTGCACTTTGCCTACAGTGGAATTTCTTTTAAAACTGAAGTTAATCCTCTCAAACCCTGCCATTCCTCTATCAACTAAGTTTATGTAATATTCTAAATTGTTTGTTGTCATTTCAATAACATTGATAGCTTTTTCACCAGAAGTGCATTCCACTTCGAGAAACTGCTTTCTTTACTCATCTGTGAGAAGAAACTCCTTATTCGTCCAAGTTTTATCTTCAGATTGCAGCAATTTAGTCATAGTTTTCAGGATTTACTTCTAATTCTAGCTCTCTTGCTATTTCCAGCACATCTGCAGTGACTTCCTTCCCTGAAGTCTTGAACCTCTCTCAAAGTCATCCATGAGGGTTGGAATCAACTTTTTCCAAATTCCTGTTGATGTTGATATTTTGAACTGCTTTCATGAATCATGAATGTTCTTAATGGTGTCTAGAATGGTGAATATTTCCAGAGTTTTCAATTTTCTCTGCCCAGATCCCTCGAAGGAATCACTGTCTATGGCAAGTATAGCTTTAAGAAATTTATTTCCTAAATGATAAGACTTGAAAGTCAAAACTACTCCTGGATCCATGGGCTGCAGAATGGATGTTTTGTCAGCAGGCATGAAAACATTAATCTTCTTGTAAATCTCTATCAGAGCTGTTGGGTGGCTAGATGCATTGTCAATGAACAGTAACATTTTGAAAGCAGTCTTTCCTTTCTGAGAAGTTGGTCTCAACAATGGGATCAAAATATTCAGTAAGTCATGCTGTAAATATATATACTCTCATATAGGTCTTGTTCCATTTATGGAGCATAGGCAGAGTAGATTTAGCATAATTCATAAGAGCCTTAGGATTTTCAGAATGATGAATGAGCATTGGTTTCACCTTAAAGTTATCAGCTGTGTTAGTCCCTAACAAGAGAGTCAGCCTGTCTATTGAAGCTTTGAAGTCAGACATTAGCTTCTTTCTAGCTGTGAAAGTTTTAGATGGAATCTTCTAATAGAAGGCTGTTTCATCTGCATTGAAAATCTATTGTTTCATGTAGCCAGCTTCACTGGTTATCTTAGCGAGATCTTCTAGATAACTTGCTGCAACTTATATATCAGCATTTGCTGCTTCACCTTGTACTTTTATGTATGACGATTCCTTCCCTTAAACCTCATAAACCAACCTCTGCTAGCTTCAAATTTCTCTTCTGCCACTTTCTCCCCTTACTTTGCCTTCACAGAATTGAAGAACATTAGGGCCTTGCTGTGGATTAGGCTTTGGCTTAGAAAAATGTTGTAACTGGTTTGATTTTCTATTTAGACCACTAACACTTTCTCTGTACTAGGAATGAGACTGTTTTGCTTCTTATCATTCGTGTGTTCATTGGAATCGCTCTTTTAATTTTCTTCAAGAACTTTTTCTTTGCATTCATAATTTTGCCAACTGTTTGGCACAAGAGGCCTAGCTTTTGGGTAATCTCAGCTTTTGACATAACTTTCTGACAAAGTTTAATCATTTCTGGCTTTAAATTTAAAGTGAGAGACTTCAATGTACAAAACTTCCTTTAACTGGAACACTTAGAGGCTATTATAGAGCTATTAATTGACATAATTTTAATACTGTTGTGTCACAGTGAATAGGGAGGACAAGAAGAGGGAGAGAGATGGGAAATGGCTGATTGGTGGAGCAGTCAGAATGCACAACATATTTATTACGTTTGCCATCCTATATGGAAACATTTTGGGATGCCCCCCCCAAATTACAATGGTAACATTAAAAATCACTGATCGGCTGGGCGTGGTGGCTCATAACTGTAATCTCAGCACTTTGGGAGGCCAAGGTGGGTGGATCATCTGAAGTCAGGAGTTTGAGACCAGCCTGACCAACATGGAGAAACCCTGTCTCTACTAAAAAAAAAAAAAAAATTAGCTAGGCGTGGTGGCACATGCCTGTAATCCCAGTTACTCGGGAGGCTGAGGCAGGAGAATCTCTTGAACCTGGGAGGTGGAGGTTGCGGTGAGCCAAGATCAAGCCACTGCAGTTCAGCCTGCGCAACAAGAGTGAAACTTGGTGTCAAAAAAATAAAAAAAAAATGAAAATAAAAATAACTGATCACAGGTTATTATAACAGATGTAATAGTAATGGAAAAGTTGAAATATTGTGAGAATTACCAAATGTGACACAGAGCTTTTGGAAAATGGCAGCAATAGACTTGATCGATATTGGGTTGCCATAGACTTTCAGTGTGTAAAAATTGCAATCTGTGAAGTGCAATAAAGCAAAGTGCAATAAAATGAGATATACCTGTACATATATTTTATTTCTATTTACAGATGTACTAATGACTAAGATAATCACTGGTAGCCAAAATTGGCTGTTACTTGCAGATTTGAGCAAACAACGAATTAGTGTTTTTCCCATCTCACAATTAAAATAGCCCGGAAGGGCATTTGCAGTGGGATAAGGAAGCAAGGCCCTACATCTCAGGACAGCAATACCTGATAGGGTGAGGGGCACTTTCAAAAAACTAACTCAACTGCTAGAGTGGAGAGGTGAGGCATAGTCTGATGGAGAAAGCCTGTGTTCAAATATTTCAACATTCTCTGGGTTATTTCTAAGTTAAAAAAGGCAAGATAAAGGTGAGGACCAGGCTGAAGAAATGTAGTTTGATAGATGGGATTCAAAAGGAAAGAGGGGTGGGGAAAAGAGGTCATAAACTCTGAAATCTACGTGTTCAGTATTGGGGATACTTACCCAGGTGTATTGGGTCCTAACCATGTAGGTATCTCAGAAAGGTTGCTGTCATTCAAAGGAGGTGGAGAGAGGGAGCTGATATTGTTTTGGCATCAGGCGATACTTTTTAGAACAGGTCTGTTACATAAGAACACATTGTGTCAATGAATTTAATCAGCACAGCTGCTTTCTGAGGCAATAAGATTCAGAGATTTATTTAGAAGAAGAGGTATTCATAGTTCCTGAAAGGATTTACATGAAAATATGTTAATTTTACTAATTTTATAATGAAAGTGGATATTCCATATTCATTGTCATCTATGGTGACTTTTTTCTTCCTGTTTGTGCCATCTCATTATGACCTGGCTGTGTGTGCGTTGCTGTCCAGACAACATACATAATTTATGGTCACATTTAACATAGCCCAAGGAAGCTACGTAGATTGATTGGACTTTGTGAAGAAATATGAGCCCTAAAGTATCTTTAGGTAAACTGATCTTATCACGGTTTGTCTAGTCTCCAAAGAAGCTGGTTGCAGAGAAAGTGTAAGACCATATCAGAATCACTTGAGGAGCTATTTTATTATTTACAAAACCCATGCCTGAATTTATTTTCCATATCTTTCCACTTGAAAACCTTTGGCCTAAATAATACTTATGCAAATGTGTTAGAGAAGTTCCTCAATATTCTTCTATATATGAAACCTCCAAAATTACTTAATTTGAAACATTTGCTTTTCTCTTTTAGTTATGATGATAATTCTTATCACCTGTTATTATTATGCTTTGTAGCCTGCTTATGGCCTTCTGCAATAGTGTAGAATTATAGCAATTTAATGGCATTTCAAAACTTTCTTATATTTTCTATACACCATAAAATGATTAAATTTACTTAAATTCACATGACCAGTGCTATCTAGATTCTGACCGAGGTGTGTCCAATGCCAGAGACTACATACTCCTTTCTCCTCACTGTTTGTATAGATGGCAGCCACACAAGTTGCTAAAGTTGCACTAGGGATAATAAATAAAACTTAGGTCTATTGATGTAAACTGGAAGAGTCCAGAAAAAGAGGAAAGGATATTGGCACTTGAGGGCAAAGCAGGAGGAGCCTAATTAGCAGATCAAGGGGCAACTCCTTGGAGTGAAAAACTGATGTGGGAGACCTCATGAAAATGGGCTTTGGAATCCAGTGCCAGAATTGGATTATTCCTCCTTTCAGAACTCAGGGTTGGCTTTGAGAACAGGGAGGAGGGCTTAGATTTCAGGTGTCAGTTAGTGGTGCTAGGGTTACCTGTGTGACTGTGGAAAGGCAGGGAAACAGTGAGGATTTGGTGTCTGTAAACTGAAGGAGAACACTCAGTGCTGTAAAAGTCTCTCAGACAAAAAGTGAAATTATTACCTAAGGAACAGTGTAAAATTATGCATAAGTGAATTGCCTTGGACCAGACTTTCAAGTCATCAATTCCAAGAAGTGATTACAGTTCATAGATTAAAATATCATGTATTTGTGTATAGATAGATAGCTTCTGGCAGTATATCATCTCTTCTGAGTCTCTTGGACGCTAAGATTTATGACCATAGCGGCTAACAAGCCACCACATATGAGTGGTTATATTGCAGATAAAATGCTGTTGAGATAATGTTTTTAGGCTAAAATCTTCTCATTGATTTATTTTCCTCGTTTCCTTTGTATTAATAAATTGTTCAATAAACTTGCAATAGATTCTGAAGCATGTGCTTCTAAAATTGTTAAAGAGTTTTGAAGAAATTTGAAATTGCTCAGGTAGAAAGAATCCATTAAGTTGTCTTTTAACTTCATTAAGGCAAGGAAATTCCACTATCTTATAACAAATGAACACTTTTAAAAACTTTTGTTTTATGTAACATTTATAGACACTCTTGTGTCACCTCAAACCCATACCCTCAATAACACCATTTTTATTTGTTTCTAAAAATAACTTTTTTGATGCAACTTTACTGGACAGAATTTTGTGGGCAGAACTTACGGGGCTCTATGATGAGGATGAAACAATTCCACTTGAATTCAAATGGTTTGAATAGGCCCTGCACAAATTGTCACTGGGCATATTCTCATGACTTAATCTTTTTTTCTTTTTCTGGATAAATATCATCAGGTCCTGAAGGGAAGGGAAAGAACAGAAAATTGACTTATACTGGTAAGAATCATCATTTACTTAGTTCAGGACTCCACTCTTTAATCTTCGGTGGATTGTTCCTGTAGGTGGCTGAGCAGCAGTCCACATGCCACATTTGCAACATGGTAACCTGCAAGCCCACCTAGAGTGTGGGCATGTGTATATCAATGTGAGGGACAGTGGAGGGTTGACAAATAGTATTTTTTTGGAACCATCAAAATTAAGATAAAGCAAAAAGACCCTTTGGAATATCCATCTCTTTCTTTCTAGACTCCCATCTCTCTGGTAAGACCAACCGAGGTTGCTCATAAGTTAAATTGAAATGAAAAGCCCTCTGGAGGTAAGAACAGTGTGAGAAAAATGTAAAAATAGTTTGAAATGTTTTAGTAGCAAAATTTAAAAAAAACAAGAAAAAACAGGAGATCGCAATTCTAAATGTACAACGTGAATCTTAATTTTATTTTAGGCGTATATGTTGTGTATATTGGAAAAGAGGAATGAAAAATTTTATATAGGAATTTATCAGAGAAAGACAAGCATAGTGTTTGTCCAGAACTTTTGCTTAATCCTATGATAACAGACAGCCTCAATGTCAGTTTTTTCTCAACCAATATTATGCATAGCACACTTAGGTTAGGCGAAATATGTGTACCAGGAACTATTCTAAGGTTTGCATGCAACATTTTCTTTCACCCACTGATATGGTTTGGCTGTATCCCCGCCCAAATCTTATCTTGAATTCCCATGTGTTGTGGGAGGGACCTGGTGGGAGGTAACTGAGTCGTTGGGGAAGGTCTTTCCCATGCTGTTCTCGCAATAGTGAATACATCTCAGGAGATCTGATGTTTTTAGAAAGGACAGTTTCCCTGCACAAGCTCTCTTCTCTTGTCTGCCACCATGTGAGATGTGCCTTTTACCTTCTGCCATGATTGTGAGGCCTCCTCAGCCACAGGGAACTGCAAGTACAACAAACCTCTTTCTTTTGTAAATTGGCCAGTCTCAGTTATGTCTTTATTGGCAGCATGAAAATGGACTAACATGGTAAATTCTAACCAGTACAGTGGGGTGCTGCTGAAAAGATACCTGAAAATGTGGAAGCAACTTTGGAACTGGGCAACAGGCAGTGGCTGGAACAGTTTGAAGGGCTCAGAAGAAAACAGGGAAATGTGGGAAATTTTGGAACTCCCTAGAGACTTGTTGAATACCTTTGACCAAAATGCTGATAATGATATGGACAATGAAATCCAGGCTGAGGTGGTCTCAGATGGAGATGAGGAACTTGTTGGGAAAACTGGAGCAAAGGTGACTCTTGTTATGTTTTAGTAAAGAGACTGGTGGCATTTTTCCCCTGCCCTGGAGATCTGTGGAACTTTGAACTTGAGAGAGATGGTTAGGGTATCTAGTGGAAGAAATTTCTAAGCAGCAAAGCATTCAAGAGGTGACTTGGGTGCTGTTAAAGGCATTCAGTTTTATAAGGGAGGCAGTGCATAACAATTTGCAGCCTGACAATGCAATAGAAGAATCTTATTATCTGAGGAGAAATTAAAGCCAGCTGCAGAAATTTGCATAAGTAATGAGGAGCTGAATGTTAATCCTCAAGACAATGGGAAAAAATGTCTCCAGGGAATGTCAGAGGTCTTCATAGCAGCCCCTCCCATCACAGACCTGGAGGCCTAGGAGGAAAAAGTGGTTTCGTGGGCTGGGCCCAAGGTCCCCCTGCTATGTTCAGCCTAGGGACTTAGTGCCCTGTGTCCCAGCCGCTCCAGCCATGGCTTAAAGGGGCCAACACAGAGCTCAGACTGTGGCTTCAGAAGCTGAAAGCCCCAAGCCTTGGCAGCTTCCATGTGGTATTGAGCCTGTGGGTGCACACAAGTCAAGAATTGGGGTTTGGGAACCTCTGCCTAGATTTCAGAAGATGTATGGAAACACCTGGATGCCCAGGCAGAAGTTTGCTCCAGGAGCATGGCCCTCATGGAAAACTTCTAGGGCTGTGCAGAAGGGAAATGTGGGGTTGGAGCCGCCACACAGAGTCCCTACTGGGGCACTGCCTCATGGAGCTATGAAAAGAGGGCCAGCGTTGTCCAGAGCCTGGAATGGCAGATCCACCGGCAGCTTGTACCATGCATCTGGAAAAGCTGAAGACACTCAGTGCCAGCCCATGAAGGCAGCTGGGAGGGAGGCTCTACCCTGCAAAGCCACAGGAATGGAGCTGCCCAAGATCATGGGAACCCACCTCTTGAATCAGTGTGACCTGAATGTTAGACATGGAATCAAAGGAGATCATTTTGGAGCTTTAAGATTAGACAACCTTGCTGGATTTTGGACTTGCATGGGGCCTACGGCCCCTTTGTTTTGGCCAGTTATTCCATTTAGAATGGCTGTATTTATCCAATGCCTGTACCCCCATGTATCTAGGAAGTAACTAACTTGCTTTTGACTTTTCAGGATCATAGGCGGAAGAGACTTGCCTTTTCTCAGATGAGTCTTTTGACTATGGGATTTGAGTTAATGCTGAAATGAGTTAAGACTTTGGGGGACTGTTAGGAAGGCATGATCTGTTTTGATATGTGAGGACATGAGATTTGAGAGGGGCCAGAAGCAGAATGATGTGGTTTGGCTGTGTCCCCATCCAAATCTTAACTTGAATTCCCACGTGTTGTGGGAGGGACGCAGTGGGAGGTAATTGAATTTTTGGGGTAGGTCTTTCCTATGCTATTCTCATGATAATGAACAAGTCTTAGGAGATTTGATGTTTTTAAAAGGGGGTTTCCCTGCATAAGCTGTTTTCTCTTGTCTGCCACCATGTGAGATGTGCCTTTCACCTTCCACCATGATTGTGAAGCCTCCCCAGCCACGTGGAACTGTAAGTCCAATAAACCTCTTTATTTTGTAAATTGCCCAGTCTCAGTTATGTCTTTATCAGCAGCATGGAAAAGGACTAATACACCTACTAATCAACTTCAAGTGAATAGATAGATACTAATAGTATTCCCATTTTACAGATTAGAAAAATGGAGATCAGAGAGAAAGGTAAATTTCAATAAGACAAATAAAATAAGGAATAGAACATTTGAATCCAGCATAAAAGTTTTTCTTTTACTCACTAATGTGCTACAACCTCCCATTGGCTTGAAGTCACTCCTCCCTCCTCTGAACTCTGTCTGAATTTCTCTTAGGTCCTTAGCTTTTGTTAATGCATTACAATAATCTATGTGCACATTTTATCCCTCTGACAGCAGGAATAACAGCTCAATCATGTTTTTAAGCCCTCTACTGTCATTCACATGCCATTCATTCAACACTTTTTGGTGAATGAACAATGAAGAATTTCATTTTGTGAAAAAGTTTCTGAAGAAAAGAAAATGTAAGAAGAAAATTACAGCTGAAGTAAAAAATAATTTTACAAAATGTTGAATAATAAAGTAACTGGCTCAGGTTATTGTTCATATTAAAGTTTCCTTGCAATCTTTGTGAAAGATCATGTTTGACCAAAACAACAAAACAAGCATTGTGGATATTTCTGTTTTGGATGCATAAATAATAACATAAATTCTGTGTGCTTTGGTATTAAACAATAGAAATTGCTTCTATTTTATAATACAATATTTCAATGGAATTATTTGGATTGTGGAAATCTTGAAATCATTAAATTTTCTTGGAGGTATAGAAGAAAATATAAAAATGAGGAAATGAAGATAATTATTCCTAAAACCTTGGTTATTCTTGATAGGCAGCATTTCTTTGGACAACCTAGTCCAGACATTTTTGCAAAGAAAATAGGTAAATGTATTTATGTATGGTATTTAGGTATGTATGTATTTGTATTATATATATCTGTCTACTTACATATATATGCACATTTAGAAAAAAGCTGTAAAATTCAGAAAACTTAAGAAAATTAAGATTACCTGCAAATTGTATTCAAGTAAAAACTGTTGAAATCTGAATAAGGTCTGCAGTTTAATTAATAGTTTGTACAAATGTCAATGTTCTGGTTTAAAAAATGTACCATGATTACGTAGGATGTTTCATTGGGAAAAGTAAGATGAAGGGTACACAGGACTCTGTACTATTTTTGCAACTTCTTGTGAATCTTAAATTATTTCTAAGAATAAGCAAAAAAGATAACACTTGTTAACATTTTTTTCAATTTCCTTCCAGTATTTAAAAACAATTTCTCAGGACCTCTTTCTTAGAACAACAGTCATGCATCATTTAATGATGGGCATATGTTCAGAGAGATGCATGATTAGGTGATTTCATCTTTGTGCAAACATCAGAGGGTATATTTACATAAACCGAGATAGTATAGCCAACTGCACACCTAGGCTATATGGTATAAACTATTGTTCCAAGTCTACTAGGTTGTCCAGAATGTTACCATACTGAATACTGTAGGCAACTGTAACACTATGGCAAGTGTTTGTATATGTAAACATATATAAACATCGAAAAGGTACAGAAAAAATATGGAATAAAATATAAAAAATAGTACACCTATATAGGGCATTTACCGTGAATGAAGTTCGCAGGACTGAAAATTGCTTTGGATGAGTCAGTGAGTGAGTGGTGAGTGAATGTGAAGTTATGGAACGTTATTGTACTCTTCTGCAAACTCTATAAACACTGAGCAGTTAAGTTATGCTAAATTTACAAAAAAATTTCTTCAATAATAAATTAACCATAGTTTACTGTAACTTTTATACTTTATTAATTTTTTAAGTTTTTAACTTTTTTACTCTTTCATCATAACACCTAGCTTAAAACACAAACACATTGTACAGTTGTATAAAATATTTTAATAACCTTATTTTATAAGCTTTTCTCTATCTTAAAATTTTATTTACTTATTTTACTTTTTAAACGTTTTTCTTGAACACTTAGACACAAAAAATCATTAGCCTAGGCCTACACAAAGCCAAGGTCATCACTGTCTTCCACTTTCACATCTTCTCCCACTGGAAGGTCTTCAGGGGCAATAGCATGCATGGAGCTGTCATCTCCTATGATAACAAAGCCTTCTTCAGGAATATGTACTGAAAGAATCCTTGTCTGAGGCTGTTTTACAGTTAATTCTTTTATAAGTAAAAGGAGCAGACTCTAAAATAGTGATTTAAAAAGTATACTATAGTAAATAAATAAACCAGTAACATCATCGTTTATTTTCATTAACTAGTATTACATAGTGTACATAATTGTATGTGCTGTAATTTTATATGACTGGAAGCACAGTAGGTTTGTTTACACCAGCATCACCACAAACACATGAGTAAAGTGTTATGTTACGATGTTATGATGACTACGCTGTCCCTAGATGGTAGGAATTTTTCAGCTCTATTATAATCTTATAAAACCACTGTTATAAATGCCTTTTATCATTAACCAAAATGTTGTTATATGGCTCATGACTGTATAAAAGTTTGAATGGAGTTCCAGGATCTCATTTTAGATGTATATGTATGCATCTCTATCTACCTACCTACCTATAGTGGAATAAGTAATTAATATTATCTGATAAAGAATGATCTGTAATAAAAAATGTAAAGTTCAAATATTAAGAGTAATTTATTTATAGACAATTAAGACTCCATATCAAATAAACTAAACTGCACTTTCGTCAGATATTTTTCTCAAGTCTACATTTGACATTTAATTACATTACATTTAAGTCCACTTCAAAAGTCCTGAAGAGAAGCAACACCATTTCATGCTTAACGCCCTGGGAAAACAACAGAAGAGAGAAAAGGGAGTGATTTCCCAGTTGTTGTTTGTGATGTACTGTGTTGTTTTATGTTTTCCCAAGATGTTGTTATGTGTCCTTCTATTTTCTTAGAGCCTGTTGTTTATAGCTTTTTCAGTATGATTTTCCCCTTTCTTCCAGTTAATTGCTTGTGCTTGTATCTGTGAAGTAAAGTGTGTTCCTTAATGACATATCCATATCTTATTTCGGTGTATCTCCAGACCACTGGATGGTAAGTTAAGAAAGTGTTGGTTGTAATTTTCTTACAGAGAATTCCTTCCCTCCAAATATTTTGTGTAAGCAAATAATTCAGTGTAATAGAAATAGAGAGGAATCAGGGAGGAAATAAATTCAATCACACAATCTTTTAGGGAAAATAATATACTTTTCTGGAGATTCTCAGGAGAAATAGCCCCAAATGGGATTTGGGAGCCTCTGGTAAATATTTTTCTTATCTGAACATATATTAAGTGCATATTTCCTAAGTAAGGCGTTCTGGGGTTAGGTTACTGCTCAATTCCTATAAGATAACTGTCTTTCTGCAGAGAGGTATATTGAGTAACATTCACCTTTCTTGGCGGTAACATTCATTGATAGTGGGGGAGGCTGGACTCTGGTATTTGGTTTGCCAGGATCTGCAAAGAAACCAAGTGCTGCTGCATTTCAGATATGAGATGGGAGACAAGGCTGGAAAACCTGATAAAGTGACCAGAGACCCTTTTCCTATTTTTATACTTTGTTTAAGACTCCCTGATTAAGTTTTTCAGTGGCCTGGCTAGACCAGAACTTAAATTTATATATAATGAGTATTTCTTGCATAACTGAGTTTATAGAAGGAAGATTCCTACTCAGTGAACATTTATTAAAATAAAATGACTATATATATCCTATTGCAGTGAAACACTAAACAAATAGGCAGAAGTTATCCAGAGTTATCCACTGCCAAAAGAGGTAATATTTGAACTGAATGTGAGTTAACATTGTTGGTTGAAAATTTTCCTTTGTAAACTCCATTATTCTGAATTATCTGAAAACCTAAAACCTTTAGCATTTCTCTTGTTTGTGGTCGAGCTTGTTTATGTGCAATATGATGACATATATTGTTAAGATGTAATTTTCCTCTATGAGCTTGAACCTGAATTTTTGTCATCCAGCTATTTTTGCCACAAAGACAAAAGGTTTGAGGTCTCTATGTGCTAGGGATTTTACTACATTACATAAGGCACTGATGCTCACTATGATATGTTTAAGTAGATGTTTTTTGAAACTTCTTTTCTGTTATAGCACTCAAAAGACATTTCCTCCTGAAGAAAACTAAAATAGAACAGGAGGATGGAAAATAAGATTGCATTTTCTTAGTCAATTATATTTTTCTTTTTATTGAAATTTATTTTAGCTAAGTCTATATAACATATAGAACATATAGAAGAGTTCTAAATGTTAATAAATTAGTATCTACTTAAAATCTAGTTTATATGTAATTATTAAAAGTTCTTCTATTCACAAGAATGAAAAATATATATTTTCGTTCATTCTTAAGGAATACATTACTAAAATTATAAAAACACTAATTAATTAGTACTTAATATCTTTAGTTTAAAAAGCAAGAAATCCTTATGAAAAATAAGTAGGTGCTTTTAAAGTTACATAGTTAAGAGAGTTACGGGAAGTTCTTTGGGTTTAGATAGGCTTTTAGAGTTATAGACATGTTAGCTTACTTGATCTGCATGATGACTCATCACCAAATGTTTGGGAATATGTATAAGATTAAGTAAAATATTTTGTTTTCTTTCTATGTAACTTATATATTTTATATACAGTTACTTTTTTATAATCTCCAAAACATAACCACAATGAATACACACACACATACACAGGTATGTATATAAATATATAAATGTGTAAAATATTAATGTAAAGATTAATATCACATTGTTACTAAAACCCATTCTTAATAAGAAATAAACATGTTAGTAGATTGTGTTAAGCCCATTTATAAAACTAAAATAGGACCAGATAAGTAACTAAGTCAATGTGTTAGATAGTCTTCTGTCTTAGTTATCTCTTTGTGCTCCTATCATAAAATACTTGAGACTGGGTAATTTATAAAGAACGGAAATGTATGTTCTTACAGTTATGGAGGCTGGGAAGTCCAATATTAAGGCATCATCAGTTCCATGTCCGTGAGGGCCCAGTCTCTCTGCTTCCAAGACGGTGCCTTGTTGCTCTGTCTTCACATAGCAGAAGGCAGACGGGCAAAAAGGGCCTAAAAGCCTTTTATAAGGCACTAATTCATCTATGAGGCCCTTACCAAAAGGCTCCACCTCTTAATACCAGCACAAGGGGGATTAAGAACTTTGGAAGGGAGATATTTACATCACATCACCCTCTCAGTCTATTGTTTTCCCCGCATTTCATAGAGGAATATTTCTCCACCATTAGACAAACGATAATACAATTCAAATAATAAAAGACTACAAACACCCTGCCTATTCACCAAGGACCACTATGGAGAGGAGAGGTTTATGGTAAAAGGGAGAATTAATGCTGATATATCTAACAATTGCTGCTACATTTTTAAAAGTAACCAGAAATGTAGACATCTGTTTGCAATCCTTTGATTTTTAAACACTGACAATTAATGTGAATTTAAAAAATATATTGTGTAGATCAAATGAAGCACTTCCACAGGCTGAATTCAATCTGTGCTATAGTTTCTGAAATATGATTTAGAGACTATAGTGTCTTGATGTTACATGGTTGTAATTCTTGAGACTTAAAATTCTCTCTTCTCACTTGAACAGGAAAACAAACAATATTGTTATAGCTATTATAATTTTCTCTCACTCATGTTAAAAACTTATGGTGTTTTTTTCGTTTTTTTTTTATTTATTATACTTTAAATTTTAGGGTACATGTGCACAACGTGCAGGTTTGTTACATATGTACACATGTGCCATGTTGGTGTGCTGAACCAAGTAACTCATCATTTAACATTAGGTATATCTCCAAATGCTATCCCTCCCCACTCTCCACACCCCACAACAGGCCCTGGTGTGTGATGTTCCCCTTCCTGTGTCCATGTGTTCTCATTGTTCAGTTCCCACCTATGAGTGAGAACATGCAGTGTTTGTTTTTTTGTCCTTGCGATAGTTTGCTGAGAATGATGGTTTCCAGCTTCATCCATGTCCCCACAAAGGACATGAACTCATCATTTTTTATGGCTGCATAGTATTCCATGGTATATATGTACCACATTTTCTTAATCCAGTCTATCATTGTTGGACATATGGCTTGGTTCCAAGTCTTTGCTATTGTGAATAGTGCCTCAGTAAACATACGCGTGCATGTGTCTTTATAGCAGCATGATTTATAATCCTTTGGGTATATACCCAGTAATGGGATTGCTGGGTCAAATGGTATTTCTAATTCTAGATCTCTGAGGAATTGCCACACTGACTTCCACAATGGTTGAACTAGTTTACAGTCCCACCAACAGTGTAAAAGTGTTCCTATTTCTCCACATCCTCTCCAGCACCTGTTGTTTCCTGACTTTTTAATGATCGTCATTCTAACTGGTTTGAGATGGTATCTCACTGTGGTTTTGATTTGCATTTCTCTGATGGCCAGTGATGATGAGCATTTTTTCATGTGTCTTTTGGCTGCATAAATGTCTTCTTTTGAGAAGTGTCTGATCATATGCTTCGTCAACTTTTTGATGGGGTTGTTTGTTTTTTTCTTGTAAATTTGGTGGAGAATTCAACAGAATATACACTCTTCTCAGCACTACACTGCACTTATTCCAAAACTGACCACATAGTTTGAAGTAAAGCACTCCTCAGCAAATTTAAAAGAACAGAAATTATAACAAACTGTCTCTCAGACCACAGTGCAATCAAACTAGAACTCAGGATTAAGAAACTCACTCAAAACCACTCAACTACATGGAAACTGAACAACCTGCTCTTGTATGACTACTGGGTACATAAAACAAAATAAAGGCAGAAATAAAGAAGTTCTTTGAAACCAACGAGAACAAAGACACAACATACCAGAATCTCTGGGACACATTCAAAGCAGTGTGTAGAGTGAAATTTATAGCACTAAATGCCCAGAAGAGAAAGCAGGAAAGATCTCAAATTGACACCCTAACATCACAATTAAAAGAACTAGAGAAGCAAGAGCCAACACATTCAAAAGCTAGCAGAGACAAGAAATAACTAAGATCAGAGCAGAACTGAAGGAAATAGAGACACAAAAAACCCTTCAAAAAATTAATGAATCCAGGAGCTGGTTTTTTGAAAAGATCAACAAAATTGATAGACCGCTAGCAAGACTAATAAAGTAGAAAAGAAAGAAGAATCAAATAGACGCAATAAAAAATGATAAAGGGGATATCACCACCAATCCCACAGAAATACAAACCACCATCAGAGAATACTATAAACACCTCTACGCAAGTAAACTAGAAAATCTAGAAGAAACGGATAAATTCCTCGACACATACACCCTCCCAAGACTAAACCAGGAAGAAGTTGAATCTCTGAATAGACCAATAACAGGCTCTGAAATTGAGGCAATAATTCATAGCTTACCAACCAAAAAAAGTCCAGGACCAGATGGATTCACAGCCGAATTCTACCAGAGGTACAAAGAGGAGCTGTTACCATTCCTTCTGAAACTATTCCAATCAATAGAAAAAGAGGGAATCCTCCCTAACTCATTTTATGAGGCCAGCATCATCCTGATACCAAAGCCTGGCAGAGACACAACAAAAAAAAGAGAATTTTAGATTAATATCCCTGATGAACATCGATGCAAAAATCCTCAATAAAATACTGGCAAACCGAATCCAGCAGCACATCAAAAAGCTTATCCACCATGATCAAGTGGGCTTCATCCCTGGGATGCAAGGCTGGTTCAACATATCAATAACATATCAATAAACATAATCCAGCATATAAACAGAATCAATGACAAAAACCACATGTTTATCTCAATAGATGTAGAAAAGGCCTTTGACAAAATTCAACAACACTTCATGCTAAAAACTCTCAATAAATTAGGTATTGATGGGACATATCTCAAAATATTAAGAGCTATCTATGACAAACCCACAGCCAATATCATACTGAATGGGCAAAAACTGGAAGCATTCCCTTTGAAAACTGGCACAAGACAGGGATGCCCTCTCTCACCACTCCTATTCAACATAGTGTTGGAAGTTCTGGCCAGGGCAATCAGGCAGGAGAAGGAAATAAAGGGCATTCAATTAGGAAAAGAGGAAGTCTAATTGTCCCTGTTTGCAGACAACATGATTGTATATCTAGAAAACCCCATCATCTCAGCCCAAAATCTCCTTAAGCTGATAAGCAACTTCGGCAAAGTCTCAGGATACAAAATCAATGTGCAAAAATCACAAGCATTCTTACACACCAATAACAGACAAACAGAGAGCCAAATCATGAGTGAACTCCCATTCACAATTGCTTCAAAGATAATAAAATGCCTAGGAATCCAACTTACAAGGGATGTGAAGGACCTCTGCAAGGAGAACTACAAACCACTGCTCAATGCAATAAAACAGGATACAAACAAATGGAAGAACATTCCATGCTCATGGGTAGGAAGAATCAATATCGTGAAAATGGCCATACTGCCCAAGGGAATTTATAGATTCAATGTCATCCCCATCAAGCTACCAATGACTTTCTTCACAGAATTGGAAAAAACTACTTTAAAGTTCATATGGAACCAAAAAAGAGTCCGCATTGCCAACTCAATCCTAAGCGAAAAGAACAAAGCTGGAGGCATCAAGCTACCTGACTTCAAACTATACTACAAGGCTACAGTAACCAAAACAGCATGGTACTGGTACCAAAACAGAGATATAGATCAATGGAACAGAAGAGAGGCCTCAGAAATAATGCCATATATCTACAACCATCTGATCTTTGACAAACCTGACAAAAACAAGCAATGGGGAAAGGATTCCCTATTTAATAAATGGTGCTGGGAAAACTGGCTAGCCATATGTAGAAAGCTGAAACTGGATCCCTTCCTTACACCTTATACAAAAATTAATTCAAGATGGATTAAAGACTTAAATGTTAGACCTAAACCATAAAAACCCTAGAAGAAAACCTAGGCATTACCATTGAGGACATAGGCATGGGCAAGGACTTCATGTCTAAAACACCAAAAGCAATGGCAACAAAAGCCAAAATTGACAAATGGGATCTAATTAAAGAGCTTCTGCACAACAAAAGAAACTACAATCAAAGTGAACAGGCAACCTACAGAATGGGAGAAAATTTTTGCAATCTACTCATCTGACAGATGGCTAATATGCAGAATCTATAAAACTTACAGTGTTTTTAAAATACTCTTTTGAAAATAAAAAATATAGAATAGTGGGGTTTTTTTTTTTTTTTGCCTTTTAGCCTATGTTCTGAGTTCCTCTGCTTGTTTTAAGTACCTCCAGTAAAAAGTCTTCCAAAATTCTAATTTCCAAATGCTTTTCTCAGTTTACTGTCATTCCCTATGTTTGTAGATTATTTGGACGAGTGGTCCAATGTATCTTCACCAAAAGCACTTACAACAGTTAGGTCATTAGACTTGCAGTTTCTAAATGAA
The DNA here is from genome assembly GCF_000001405.40 of Homo sapiens. Taxonomy (NCBI): domain Eukaryota; kingdom Metazoa; phylum Chordata; class Mammalia; order Primates; family Hominidae; genus Homo; species Homo sapiens. The sequence goes on along the minus strand of NC_000002.12, from coordinate 194,954,646 downwards.
TTTTGATTTGGGCATTTAACCTACCTGTGAATTTTATAACACTTTCTCCTTAAAAAGAGAAAAGGAAAACATAAACTGTTGAAAGATGATTGCTAGTTTCTCAGCCACACGTGGTAGTAGGCTTAAAGATTTTTATTTTCCTTGGAAACTACTACTACTTATAAAGCTCATCCATCATATGTAATGAGAGCTGTGAGGAATATTTAGTGAGAAATAGCTGCTTGATATGCTAATAGCAGCCCCTTAGTGAATTCATTTTGTTCTGCTTCTTGACATTAATGGTTTTCATAATCTAATGAATGATGTGTGCAATAGACGTAAGGCCACAGGGAAAGATCATATAAAGTTAAAGTAGGGAAAATCTTCATCAGTATTTGCATTCATTTACTAGAATGCATTTTATATATATCTGTATTTACCTTGACTTTTATTGATCTCCATTTGAAAGTATCGTTTGGCATTAGGGATTCTAGTTTACTTACACTTTGCCTTTCCTAATGTTGCAGTTGCTGTGGTGTCTCGCTTGTTCTAGTTAGTAAAAATGCTGGTGAGAAGTCGTTACTTATATCCTCAGAAGTAGACGAGAATTTCGAATCCTTAAGATGCTACTGATTTGTAAGGAAAAAAAAAGAGTTGGGGCCATGTAAGATCTGGTGGAATCAATAATAATTTGCTTGGTTAAATCAGTAGCAGTATTCTGAGCTCTTTATTTTATAGAGCTATATGTATAATTAATTTATATAAACTTCCTTTACAGCATGACTTTAAAAATAGAATAGACATACATTTGTCAGGGACAGTTAAGTAGGGTTCCACCTGAGAGTGGAGATGTAAACGACCTCTCAAGGTCTCTTCCAATCTTGTGGTTTTATGAATCTATGGTAATCAAAATGGAGTCACCCAAATCAGTAGTTATGAAAGGGCATTAAGAGTGCTTACAAGGTTATAGATACAAACAAACCTTAAATCAAGGGAGTCCCTAACATTCCTCAGCAGGTTTCAATTTCATTTTTAGAACAAGGTATTTAAAAGAAATATTATAATTCATTTGAATGCAAGTATTAAAACAAATACATATTTTAAACCATAATGACAACAAATCATATTTCTTTAAAGAATGAAGTATTGACATATTTAAAATGCATTTTTCTTGTTTTTGCTAAATGTATTTTCTTTTTTGAGACGGAGTCTCGCTCTGTCGCGAGTGCAGTGGCGCTGGAGTGCAGTGGCGCGAACTCGGCTCACTGCAAGCTCCGCCTCCTGGGTTCCTGCCATTCTCCTGCCTCAGCCTCCTGAGTAGCTGGGACTACCGGCTTCCGCCACCACGCCCAGCTAATTTTTTGTATTTTTGGCAGAGACGGGGTTTCACCGTGTTAGCCAGGATGGTCTCCATCTCCTGACCTCGTGATCTGCCTGCCTCGGCCTCCCAAAGTGCTGGGATTACAGGCGTGAGCCACCGCGCCCGGCCTGAGTTGTATTATTGTGGAAAAACAGAACATTTTCAAAAAGATAAAAGATAAATCTTAACTTTTAAGTTATAGAAAAATGAGACTTTTTTCAGGGAAAAAGAAAATTTTATTTTACCAAATATTTAACATTTAAATAAAGCATATGGATAAAATTCATAGGTATCAATGGATTTATAAATTTCTTGACTTAGGCTATTTTTCATGACTATTCTTTTTTTTTTGTTGTTGTTGTTGTTGTACAGAGGTTTTGTAATTTTTGTACAGGAGTTTTGCAATTGAAAAGTAAGTAGTGTCTAATTTTATATTTCTCTGCTTTTATGTCCTCTGGTTGCATAGTTTGTTGGTCTGTTTTATGTGACCAGCCACTTTGTGAACATTTAAGCAGACTACATCATCTCTGAATGCCTGCAAGTTAGACTCTCTTGCTTAGAACCAAGACCTGCCAGTTGTGTGATGTTGGTCGAGGTATCTATAATGTGTACTGTACTGCAGTTTCTTCAAGCACAAAGTGGAGATTATAATGGTACACTTGTTAAAAGGTTGCTGTGAGATTTAAAAAGAGAAAATTAATTAGAATAAGGCTTATGTATTAGTGCTCAATGTATATTGCCAACTTTACTCATTTAACAAATATTGAATGCCCACTAAAGTCCTGTTCTAGATGTGAGGGCACATGGTAAATAAAGATAAAATCCTGATCTCATGGCATTTCCATTTCATGGCCTTAGCGTATTTATTTTTCTGAGGCCATACTATAAAGGTATTGAGAAGGTATTCATTGCTTGTTGACTGCATGGATGAATGGATGGATGGATGGATGGATGGATGGATGAGTGAATAAATCATGAAAACCTAAATCTGTTACTGCTTTCTCTTCTTACATGCAGGACAGAGTGAACAAACACAAAATGTATGTTAACTCACAGTAGGGAAAATAAGGCAATAAACCTTAGTAGTGAACTACTGATCTGGCATCCATACATATCCAGCAGGGTCTTAGAAAACCAGAGTGGAGAGCACCCACATTAGGGAAGAAGGCCTGATTGTGAGCACATCAGAATGTCTTTCACTGTACAGAGGAGTGCAGAAATCCCGGCATGCCACTATTTTGGCGTGTCAAGGACTTCTAGTAAACTTTTGGTCCAAAAATAACGGTTGCGTCATTAATATCAGCACATTCAGCAATAGTGAATGATCTCTTGGTTTTGCATGTACATACTCGATTGTCCAGACATAATTTGTTGAAAAAACTATTCTTTTCCCATTTCATTATCTTGGCACTCTTTTTGAAAATAAATGTAAAGACTTAATTCTGGACTCTCAGTTCTCTTCCACTGGTCTATATTCATCCTTATTCCAGTACCACGGAATCTTGGGTACTGTAGCTTGGTAGTACATTTTGAAATTAGGAAGTATGTGTCAGTCAAATTTGTTCCTCTCTTTCAAGATTTAATTGGCTATTATGGGTCTCTTGAATTTCCACATAAATGTTCATATAAGCTTGTCAATTTCTGCAAAAATGCCAGCTTCTGTTTTCATGTGGAGTGCATTGAATCTGTGCTATTGATATCTTAGTAATATTCTTGGCCAGGCACGGTGGCTCACACCTGTAATCCCAGCACTTTGGGAGGCTGAGGCGGGCAGATCACAAGGTGAAAAGATTGAGACCATCTGGGCCAACATGGTGAAACCCCATCTCTACTAAAAATACCAAAAAAAAAAAAAAAAAAAAATTAGCTGGGCATGGTGGTGCTTGCTGTAATTCCAGCTACTTTGGAGGCTGAGGCAGGATAATCGCTTGAACTAAGGCGTTGGAGGTTGCAGTGAGCCGAGATCGTGCCACTGCACTCCATCCTGGCAACAGAGTGAGACTCCATCTCAAAAAAAAACAAAACAAAACAAAAAAAACTTTCAATCGATAAACATGGGATGACTTCATTTTTTAAGGTTTGCTTTAATTTTTTTCAACAATGTTTGTCTTTTATGGTATACATGTTTCATACCCTTTTTATTGTTTGTTTCTAACTACTTTATTAGTTATATACTATTGTAAATAACATTTTTCTTAATTGAAATTTTGGATTTTTTATTGTTGGTGTGTAAAAATACAGCTGATTTTTTTTATTGCTCTTTTATCCTGTAACCTTGTGGTATTCATTTAATTCTGATGTGTGTGTGTGTGTGTGTGTGTGTGTGTGTGTGTGTGTGCATGTTTGAGTTCGTTAGAATTTTCTATATAAGATAATTTGTAGGGATAGTTTTATTTTTTCTTTTCTAATTTATATGCTCTTATTTCTTTATTAATAATTTTTAAAAATATAAATATCACCAAAACTTCTGTGAGGCATAATGCATTTAACTACCAACATTTAATGACATTGATTTTTATCACTTCTTTCTTTATAAGTTACAGTAAAGGTAGAGGTATGCAAATTTCCAAATTACATGATGAAAAGGAGTCAGTGAAAGAAGAAATAAGAACACAGGTGACCTCACTAGCTTAGCTTTCTTCTTTCCCTGGAATGAATCGAGTTCCTTGATTATTTGGTCTCAGTTTCTGTGTTTAGAGAACTTGAGAGGTATGTTAGAGCTCAGTGTGCCATCATCATTTACTAAAGGTTCATAAGAGAGGGAATTTATGAGTAGGTTTGATTACTAATTTGTAGACCTTATCCGTTTCGTCAACAGATTTAATTGGTGTTTCCATTTTCAATAAGAAATGTCAACTCATGTATGACAATTCAATCCATTTTTCAAATCATAATTCTTAGTCATTGCATCAACTCTATAAAATATAAATCTATCACATCTACTACAGTCACTTCATCCGTTAATTATGTAATTCAATTGAGAAAGTAATTAAGTTTGCCTGACATAACTTACTTTTTCACAAATGCATCAGGCTCAATACTCATGTTTCCATTATATTTCACTCATTTGTAGTTATTTTGGTTAGTGCTTTATAAATGATGCCACATGAGAATGAAACTTGGCTTTTAGAGTAGGAATTCCCAGATAAAGTTAGCAACGCAATTCTTTTGCTCATTGTTATTTTCTTAATTAACTTTTTTCAAAGTAATAGTATATCAATTATAAAAATTACATTAACTGATTGTTCTTAAAAACGGACTGAAAATTATTTAAAACTTATTATTACATAAATATAACTTTCTGTCTATATGCGTATCCATATTTATCACTATACCTACATTAAAAAATTGTTAAATGGAAAACACATCTCAGATTTGTCAGATGTTTCTTGCATATGTTGTTTAATTCTCCTTATTCTGATATGACAAAACAAAATCAATAAATGAAAGTGAGTTTTTGAGTAACTGTTATATGCCAAGAATTGTGTGGCCTACAAAGTTATGTAGTATTTAATTTTTGCCTTTGGGAAGGTTAAATTATCAATTTAATCTTTTAAAATACTTAACATATTGTATTCCTTTATTTTAGCGAATGAGATATATTATGATGTCTTGATAGTCAATGTTTATTTTGTATTATAGTAAAGTGCTAATTGAAATCAATTTTACCATTCCAAATGTATAATTTTATTTCATTCTTAAACTTTTTATTATGAACTATTTCAAACATATACAAAAATAGAGCTTCCATGTTCCTATCATCCAGCTTCAAAAATTAGCATCTCATGGCCAGTGTTTTCTCATCTATACTTTCACTCATTTCCCTTCCTTTCATGTTACTAAAAAACTTTCTATATCTCATGTTAATTCCTTAGTAACTATTTTAATATTTACTTCTTAAAAATTATCAAAACACTATATTAAGACTTTAATTATAATTTCTAATATTATTAAATATCTAGTCAATTATCACATTTCAAATTGTCTCATAAATGTCATATTTTTTGGTTGTTTGCCTAAGTATTCAAGTAAAACTCGTATGTTTGGTTTGTTATGTTGTTTGTATCTCTTTGTCTATGGACTTCCACCCTATCTCTTTTTTTTCCTTGCAATGTATTTGTTGAAATAACTAAGACATGTGATTAACAATGTTTCCTACAGTTTAAATTGTACTGATTGTGTCTCTGAATTGATTGGTGATATGATTAATATGTTCTAACATATGATCAATATGTTCCATTATCTATATTCACTATTTATTAGTAGTTGAAACTAGTACACTGGAAAGATCAGGAAGAATTTCTTTTTCTTGGGAAAGTCTACTTGATAGGTGGTGGTGTGGTCTTCCCTTAGGAAGTACAAATATTAATATTTACATATTTACACAGGTTTCTTTTCATAATGGTAGTAACTTGATTTTCATTGTCTGGATATCTTGATCATTAATTTGTTAAACATTGTTATAGGTATATATTGTAATATATATATTACTATATATGAACTTACACAGGCATATATGTGTGTATGTATATATAAATGTTGCAACACATATTAGGCAGTGTGCCATATATGTATGTGTGTGTGTGTGCATATATATGTATTATAATGCATATTAGGTTGTGTGCCATGACTTTTGGCACATAAAGTAGTATTAACAATTTCTAAATTTCTAAAATAATAGGCTATGGAGGAATCATTAACATTGAAATCGAACATTTATTATAGTAGGTTGCTAATATTTAAAGTTCAATAGCTCTCTAGTGATACTCATGAGAGATGTAGCTAGCCCTAAATTATTGCTTCATAATACATATGGAAATAAATTTTTAAAATATCTTTTTCTCCTTACTTGATAAGAAGGAACATTATAGATGCTTTTATATCATCAATAGCTAAGATAAAATCAGCTAGATGTTCTGTTTTGTAGATCATTTTGTGGTACAATCAGATGCCTATTTAGTAGTCTTTTTAATGACTTGTCTGCTAAATAAGCAAAGAAGCTGAATTCTTTTTCCTTCACAGTTATGAAAAATACATAACATGTTGCCATATTAAAATAGATATCCATGTCACGTTATGCCCCTACCCGTTATATTGACAGCAAAATATACCAGAAAAGACAAACAGGTGGAATTAAACAGGGTCTTGGTTTTAGAGAGCCAAACTGTGACTTCCTGGGAAAGAAGTTATATATTTCACATATATCCCTCTGTATGGCCATTGCAGGTCTCTCTAGATCTGAACACTAAGAAAAACAACACTTTCCAAAGGAGAAACCATAAATAAAGCAGCAGCAGATAGGTAGCAATAACATATAGAACTAGTCTGGACTTGAACAACTTGTGATACATCTGAGTGAAGAAAATATCTACTTAGCACAAAAGAAGTGTCATGTATGGTTTCAGAAAACAAACAAAAAACAAAGCTAACAGCATGGGCCATGAGCTGGTTATTGCAATCACAGCATTCTAGTATGGTTTCCTAAACTAATTTGTTGTTACCTGATGAAAAAGCACAAGACAAAAAAAGAATCTCCAGCATGTCACCTTTCATTAAAGTTGTGTTTGTCTGCAATTTTGTTATTTGCAATTGCTCATCTGTTAAATTAGAAGTTTTAATTCTTCACAGTTTGTCACCTTTTAAATTCTGCTCTGTTGACATGCACTTTTTTATAAATCCAAAGAAAGTTGAAAATGCAATTTGAAAGTAAATTAAGTTATGCCAGTTGCTAAGAAAGAAGCCTTATGTGTCATATGTATTAAGTATGTTTTAAAACATGAACTGCCTTAAAAAAAAACCATACAATTAGCCAATGTAATGGGTTGCTAATATTTTAAAGATATTACTCCTGCTATTTCCTCTCTTCCATTCTATGCCAGAGGACACTGATCGTTTGAAATAAATAAAAATAAGCAACAAAGAAATCTTAATACATCAAAGAACTGCAAAATACAATAGAAAATAATGGAGATATATAATAAATAAAAAATATAAAGTGAAATAATATATAATGAGTAAAGTAACAAAAGAAGAAAGAGAGTTTACTTGAGGGAGTTTACAAAATTACAACATTACAAATGCCCAAGATACATGAAAAATATTCAGCATCTCTAAATATAAAAGAAATGCAAATTAAAGCCAAATGGCTAAACTTATTTTGTATGAAAATAATTTTAAAAGTTAAGGGTCAGTGTTGCCAAGAGCACAGAAAAATGAGCTCTCCTTCTGTACTGTTAATGAAAATCTGGATTGTTGCAACATTTCTTTTTCTTTTGCAGTTTGTCAGTACTTAAGATTATGTCCCTGGAGAGCTGCAATGATACGTATGCATATTACATTATTTGAAATCTCAAAATTGTGTCTCTGCAGAGGAATGGTCAAATAAATTGTGATACATCTCTACTATAAATATTATGTAAACTTTTTTCTTTGTAAAATAAGTTCAGTGTGTGCATATTGCCTTAGGGAAATTGCCATGATCAAATAAGTGTAAGAGCAAGTTGCAGACACATATGCAGAGCCATTTCCATTGCTGTGAAGGAAAAAAGTTACCTGCACTTACATATAATTATCTACATGTTTAATGTATATGTATATGTTAATAATGTATATGTAATGTATATGTATATGCTTTGTTTTTTTCCTATTTAATATATATGCTAAAACTATGTCTTGTGTTTTAACTCTTTAAGGAAATATTTTAGGTAGGCATAATTTATGGAAAAGAAGAAAGTTTAGTGGGCAATAGAGAAGTAAAGACATAGAAAGTTAGTGGCATATATATTGAATAGTTAGGCTGGACACAGTGGCTCACACTTGTAGTCCCAGCAATTTGGGAGGTGGAGGAAAGAGTGTCGCTTGAACCAAGAAGTTCAAGACTAGCCTGGGCAACATGGTGAGACCCCATCTCTACAAAAAATTTAAAAATTAGCCAGGCATGGTGTTGTGCATCTGTTAATAGCAGGTAATTGGGAGACTGAGGGGGGAAGATTACTTGAGACCAGAAGATTGAGGCTGTAGTGAGCCATGACTGCACCAATGCACTCCAGCCTGTGTGACAGAGTGAGAACTTATCTCAAAAGAAAAAGAAGAAGAAGAAGAAGAAGAAGAAGAAGAAAAATGTGAGGATATTTCTCTCTTTCAAGTATATAAGTCAAATATAAAACAACAAAAAGTGCAGCTTATTTGCCTTGTTTTTAAAAAATTATGTTTATTTTGCAAGATCTTTGTGACAACTACTATGAATACAAAGTCCCAAGCACATTTTATAGAAGAAAAAAGAGTATCAATACATACTCATTACTACCATGCATATTGCTTGGGCTATATCCCTGATGCAGCTGCTCCTGACACCCAGCACTAGTTGAGATTAACCTGGAATTTTCAGAAATGCATATCAGAGCAGGAGCTGATTTGAGATTTACTTGATAGAACAAAAAGTATAATTTGTGTTTAGGTTTTGCACAGAGCCACATGACCAGAAATATTGTATGTGAGAGAGTTAGGGGCAGAGAGTTCAGTGCGTTAAATTATCTCAGAGATATGTTACTTTAACTCCTTTGTGCATGTTCTTTTTCAATCTCATTGGCATTTTGGTGCAACCGACAGGCCACATGTGGCTCCTCGCCTGACATTGCCAAGTAATACACTAAACCTATGGGATATACAATAAAGATTTTGGCTTGTTTTGACCCAGAAGATTATTCGGAAAGCTCCTGAAGTACTCTAACAGACACTTTTGTGGAGGCTGAGAGAAATGAGGGCTTCCCTGTTGCAAATTAGCTAGCCATTGAGGTTCTATTATGAGGATACATGTTTCCTTTAAGGAAAGAGTTACTAATTCTGGGGTTTTGTTAGAGAGACCATATGTCTTGACATTTGGTATGAGTCTTACCTTTCTACTGCTCCTCCTCTCTCTTTCCATGTATGTGACATGCAGAGGTGTAGAAGAAGGTTCTTTTGGGCCTTCCTCCATGAGTTTTAGTTTTTTGCCCAAGATCGCAATCAATACCATAAAGGAAACTCTTTTAAGGACCCAAGCTTGGGGGACTTTTTCCTTCTCAGCCACAAATCTAACCCAGTGCCTAATCTGTGGGGTTCTTCCCTTGCCAGTGCTTTTAACTCTGAGAGGGGCATGTGTCTTCTTCCTTCAACATAGATCAAATACCCCATTTTCATTATCCTTTCATTGTTACACTATAATATGCATATTTGAAATACACTGAATGTGTTAATTAAGAATGTTTCTGGTTTTCTGATGACTCCTAATTTCACACAATAAAATAATAAGGTACAATGAGGAAGGGCAAAACTAAGACACAACTAAGGCACAAATTGCAGGATTGGATTTTGCAACTTGCAAATTTGGCAGATTTCCAGGTAATGGAGGCTAATTGTAAAGCCAGGCATTGAACTCCTTACTAAAAACATTTAAATGCATGCATTTTGTATTTAACATTTGATTTTTCATTCATGTTGGGTGCATGTTGAACCTAGGATAAATGGAAAATAAAACTAGGTTATTTCAGTTTGCTTTATTCTGCTTCAAACTATCATTATGTGTTAGTAATTCTTTTGAGCAGGTCAAGGACCCAACCAACACATTGTATTGAGTGATATTCCAGTACTATAATAATTTGGATGGAAAAGAATATAGAAGATGTGGTGAAAATAAAGATGTTTGTCTTTGAATCTGTCTTTTTTTTACCCGTGATTTTGGCTTCTTATTGTTACTTCTTTTGTATTTCTTACCAATAGGCTTACTATAACCCATTTATTGCTTTTATTAAAAAAGATGAGGCAAGACCAAAGTGAATTATAACCAATATTTCCTTTTATAGAAAGGGCCTCCTACCCTACATCACTCAAATTGGAAAAAGGTGACTTGAAGAACAATTGCTCTGAACCTGAAGGTTTTCAAAGCATTGACACAGAATGAAGGACTTGGAAGAAAGAAAAAATTGGACCCTGAAAACCTGTCCTGCTTTTGTTCAATCAGTGAGAAAGATACCAGCCTTTCATGTTCTCAGCAGTATCTTTTCAACAAATAGAGACTGCTAGACTTCAGATTTTTTTAAAGTTGTTGGTTTTTTTACCTCTATGAAAGATTGTAAGGAGAGTAAAGTATAAGTAAGAGAAAAATCTTGAAGATAATAAGGATATTGCAGTCAGTAATGCCATCAAGGCTCTGATGCCAAGGCTCTTTAAGAGCAGGTTCAGTTTCAGTAAAACAGTAAGCAAAAGTACTGTGATTTGAACTTCCTGAGTAAGCATACAATACAATTTGAAGATGTAGTTGAACAATTTTTAGCAAAATGAATTTTACATTGATATTAGTATATACATATAATATTGAATAGAAATACCACATTTTTGCTGTAAATTATTTTGCTTACAAAAAGCTGTAATGACACTCCCTAGTGAGATGAACCCGGTACCCATGCTAGATGACGAGTTAGTGGGTGCAGCGCACCAGCATGGCACATGTATACATATGTAACTAACCTGCACATTGTGCACATGTACCCTAAAACTTAAAGTATAATAAATAAATAAATAAATAAATAAATAAATAAATAAATAAATAAAAGCTGTAATGGACAGTTTGTTAAGTGTCTATAAATTGATACACCTGAAATTAGTTGCTTTTTCTTTTCCTTTTTTTTTTTTGTTGGTTCAAATACTAAGTAAGAAAAAACAAATCTGCTTTTTTTGCTTTACTATCGGAGGATGTGAGATGGTTGGTAAACTCAGTCCAAGCTAAAATAATTTCCAATACAATTGCACTTTTGATGTCTATAGTCATTCTAGTGGAAAAGTGTTTGCAGTAGGCTGAATATTTATAGGTTACAAGACTTTTAAGAACTATTAATTCTTACGTTTGTTTTTCTGACTAAACATATTCTATCCATGCTGTTTTACAATTATTTATCATTTGATTTCCCTATATATATAAAGAATACTGGGCTAAAGATTTGAATGGATGTCTATAAGCAAATAGCTTCCCTAAAGAAGCTGTTCTGTCATCTATAAAATGGAGGGGCATAAAATTTTTCTATAAAAATAAAATAAGGCAGGGAGTGGTGGCTCATGCCTGTAATCACAGCACTTTGGGAGGCTGAGGCGGGTGAATCACCTGAGGTCAGGAGTTCGTGACCAGCCTGGCCAACATGGTGAAACCCCATCTCTACTAAAAATACAAAAATTAGCTGGACCTGGTGGTGGGCACCTGTAATCCCAGCTACACAGGAGGCTGAGGCAGGAGAATCGCTTGAACCCAGGAGGCGGAGATTGCAGTGAGCAGAAATCGTGCCATTGCACTCCAGCCTGGGTGACAAGAGCAAGACTCCGTCTTAAAATAAATAAATAAATAAATAAATAATAAATAAAAATAAAATAATACATGAAACTCTTTTAATGTGAAGCATAAACATGAAACATTTTAAAGGCAGATAAAAGACCTAAAAATATATGTATTTCATTCAAAAGGACCATCTATGTCAAGATCAATATTATATATATATGTGTGTGTGTGTGTCTGTGTAAATGTGTGCATATGTACACACATGTATGTATCACTTATACTCATCTGTATATCTCCATGTGTTTTTAGGAAAAGTTATATGTGTTGGATATGTATATGTGATTGTAATTCACTTTGAGCTTAGTGTAAAAAATTTTTTTTTTAAATTTTCATTATACTTTAAGTTCTGTGGTACATGTGCAGAACGTGCAGTTTTGTTACATAGGTATACACGTGCCATGGTGGTTTGCTGCACCCATCAACCTGTCACCTACATTAGGTATTTCTCCTAATGTTATCCCTCCCCTAACCCCCGAGGCCCTGAGAGGCCCCGGTATGTGATGTTCCCCTCCCTATGTGCATGTGCTTTCATTGTTCAACTCCCACTTATGAGTGAGAACATGTGGTGTTTGGTTTTCTGTTCTTGTGATAGTTTGCTGAGAATGATGGTTTCCAGCTTCATCCATGTCCCTGCAAAGGACATGAACTTCTCCTTTTTTATGGCTGCATAGTATTCTATGATGTATATGTGCCACATTTTCTTTATCCAATCTATTATTGATGGACATTTGGGTTGGCTCCAAGTCTTTGGTATTGTGAATAGTGCTGCAATAAACATACGTGTGCATGTGTTTTTATAGGAGAATGATTTATAATCCTTTGGGTGTATACCCAGTAATGGGATTGCTGGGTCAAATGGTATTTCTAGTTGTAGATCCTTGAGGAATCGCTACACTGTCTTCTACAATGGTTGAAGTAATTTACACACCCACCAACAGTGTCAAACCATTTCTATTTCTCCAGATCCTCTCCAGCATCTATTGTTTCCTGACTTCTTAATGATCGTCATTCTAACTGGCGTGAGATGTTATCTCATTGTGGTTTTGGTTTACATTTATCTAATGAACAGTGATGATGAGCATTTTTTCATATGTCTGTTGGCTGCATAAATGTCTTCTTTTGAGAAGTGTCTGTTCATATCCTTTGCCCACTTTTTGATGGGGTTGTTTGTTTTTTTCTTGTAAATTTGTTTGAGTTCTTTGTAGATTCTGGATATTAGTTCTTTGTCAAATGGGTAGATTGCAAAAATTTTCTTCCATTCTGTAGGTTTCCTGTTAACTCTGATGATAGTTTTTTTTGCTGTGCAGAAGCTCTCTAGTTTAATTAGATCCCATTTGTCAACTTTGGCTTTTGTTGCCATTGCTTTTGGTGTTTTAGACATGAAGTCTTTGCCCATGGCTACGTCCTTAATGGTATTGCCCAGGTTTTCCTCTAGGATTTTTATGGTTATAGGTCTAACATTTAAGTCTTTGATCCATCTTGAGTTGATTTTTGTATAAGATGTGAGTTTCAGTTTTCTGCATATGGCTAGCCAGTTTTCCCAACAACATTTATTAAATAGGGAATCATTTCTTCATTGCTTGTTTGTGTCAGGTTTGTCAAAGATCAGATTGTTGTAGATGTGTGGTGTTATTTCTGAGGGCTCTGTTCTGTTCCATTGGTCTATATATCTGTTTTGGTACCAGTACCATGCTGTTTTGGTTACTGTAGCCTTGTAGTATAATTTGAAGTCAGGTAGCGTGATGCCTCCAACTTTGTTCTTCTTGCCCAGGATTGTCTTGGCTATACACGTTCTTTTTTGGTTCCATATGAGATTTAAAATAGTTTTTTGAAATTCTGTGAAGAAACTCAGTGGTAGCTTTATGGGGATAGAATTGAATCTATAAATTACTTTGGGCAGTATGGCCATTTTCACAATATTGATTCTTCCTATCCATGAATATGGAATGTTTTTCCATTTGCTTTTGTCCTTCCTTATTTCCTTGAACAGTAGTTTGTAGTTTTCCTTGAAGAGGTCCTTCACATCCTTTGTAAGTTGGATTCCTAGGTATTTTATTCTCTTAGTAGCAATTGTGAATGGGTGTTCACTCATGATTTGGCTCTCTGTTTGTCTGTTATTGGTGTATAGGAATGCTTGTGATTTTTGCACAGTGATTTGTATCCTGAGACTTTGCTGAAGTTGCTTATCAGCTTAAGGAGATTTTAGGCTGAGTTGATGGGGTTTTCTAGATATACAATCATGTCATCTGCAAACAGAGACAATTTGACTTCCTCTCTTCCTATCTGAATACCCTTTATTTCTTTCTCTTGCTTGATTGCCCTGGCTAGAACTTCCAATACTATGTTGAATAGGAGTGGTGAGAGAGGGCATCCTTGTCTTGTGCCAGTTTTCAAGAGAATGCTTCCAGATTTTGCCCATGCAGTATGATATTGGCTGTGGGTTTGTCATAGATAGCTCTTATTATTTTGAGATACGTCCCATCAATCCCTAGTTTATTGAGAGTTTTTAGCATGAAGCACTGTTGAATTTTGTTGAAGGCCTTTTCTGCTTCTATTGAGATAAACATGTGGTTTTTGTCATTGATTCTGTTTATGTGTTCGCTTACATTTATTGATTTGCATATGTTGAACCAGGCTTGCATCCCAGGGATGAAGCCAACTTGATCGTGGTGGATAAGCTTTTTGATATGCTGCTGTTTTAGGTTCGCCAGTGTTTTATTGAGGATTTTCGTGTCAATGTTCATCAGGGATATTGGCTTGAAATTTTCTTTTTTTGTTGTTGTTTCTTTGACAGGTTTTGGTATCAAGATGATGCTGGCCTCATAAAATTAGTTAGGGTGGAGTCTCTCTTTTTCTATTGTTTGGGATAGTTTCAGAAGGAATGGTACCAGCTCCTCTTTGTACCTCTGGTAGAATGTGGCTGTGAATCCGTATGGTCCTGGACTTTTTTTGGTTGGTATGCTATTAATTACTGCCTCAATTTCAGAACTTGTTATTGGTTTATTCAGGGATTCAGCTTCTTCCTGGTTTAGACTTGGGAGGGTGTACATGTCCGGGAATTTATCCATTTCTTCTAGATTTTCTATTTTATTTGCGTAGAGGTGTTTATAGTATTCTCTGATGGTAGTTTGTATTTCTGTGGGATCAGTGGTGATATCCCCTATATCATTTTTTATTGTGTCTATTTGATACTTCGCTCTTTTCTTCTTTATTAGTCTAGCTAGCGTTCTGTTTATTTTGTTGATCTTTCAAAAAACCAGCTCCTGGATTCATTAATTTTTTGAAGGGTTTTTTGTGTCTCTATCTCCTTTAGGTCTGCCCTGATCTTAGTTATTTCTTGTCTTCTGCTAGATTTTGCATTTTTTTTTTTTTTTGCCGTTGCTTCTCTAGTGCTTTTAATTGTGACGTTAGAGTGTCGATTTTAGATCTTTCCTGCTCTCTCCTGTGGGCATTTAGTGCTATAAATTTCCCTCTACACACTGCTTTGAATGTGTCCCAGAGATTCTGGTACATTGTGACACAGACTGGCAAATTGGGTAAAGAGTCGAGACCCATCAGTGTGTTATATTCAGGAGACCCATCTCATGTGGAAAGACACGCATAGGCTCAAAATAAAGGCATGGAGGAATATTTATCAAGCAAATGGAAAGCAAAAAAAAAAAAAGAAAAAAAGCAGTCTTAACTTCTGATAAAACAGACTTTAAACCAACAAGATCAAAAGAGACAAAGAAGAGCGTTACATAATGGTAAAGGGATCAATACAACAAGAAGAGCTAACTATCCTAAATATATATGCACCCAATACAGGAGCACCCAGATTCATAAAGCAATTTCTTAGAAACCTACAAAGAGAGTTAGACTCCTACACAATAATAGTGGGAGACGTTGACACCACACCCAATATTGGACAGATCAACAAGACAGAAAATCAACAAGGATATTCAGGACTTGAGCTCAGCTTTGGATCAAGCGGACCTAATAGATACCAACAGAACTCTCCACCCTAAATCAACAGAATATACATTCTTCTCAGCACCCTATTGCACTTATTCTAAAATTAACCACATAATTGGAAGTAAAACACTCCTCAGCAAATGCTAAAGAACAGAAATAATAACAAATAGTGTCTCAGACCACAGTGCAATCAAACTAGAACTCAAGATGAAGAAACTCATTCAAAACCACACAACTACATGGAAACTGAACAACCTGCTCCTGAATGACTACTGGGTAAATAATGAAGGCAGAAATAAAGATCTTCTTTGAAACCAATGAGAATGAACTTAGTTATATAGAGGAATGTGTATTTAAATGTTCATTTGCTTTTAGGAATGTGTGTCTCTGAAACTTTAAGTATATGTTGATGTTTATAGGTGCTGTGGCCTAAACATATTGAAGGTGGATTTTATCAAGGTGTGGATTTGAGAGACATTGTAGAAATGGTACTAAATATGGAGTCAGAATAGCTAGTTCTATGTCATGGCTAAATCAGATACACAGAGGACTTTTAAAACTTTAATCACTTTTCTGCAAAGTAGTAAAAACGTTTCCTACTATACAGATTTATTGCAAAGTTTGAATGTGATATTAATGAAAGTGTTTTATAAGACCAAAAAGGGCCATAAAACTACTAGCTTTATACTATTATTGCTATGTCAGGTTTTAGGAATGGTGAGTCAGGATTATATGTGTCATAGATTAGTACTTAAAGCAAACTAATATATGCGGAGCATAAGGTGGGGTGTGAATGGTGATACTTTAAGGAGTAAGGATTTTGGGGTCCCTCTTCTGGAATATGGAGTTTCCTCACAAATTATTTGTAATTCTTCTGCATGGATATTTGTTTCTTCTCTCTGATTTATGTATTCATTCAACCATCTATTTATACCAGTATGAACTCCAGGATATATTATTTTGGGTTATAATCTAATCTAACTTGTTTATTTTCTTGCTCCAGTTATTCCAGTTTTGGCAAATGAGAGCTCTTTCAGTTAATTCCTCCTTCCCTTTGGCATACAGACATTATATTGTGTGTTTTCTTTTTCTTTTTGAAGCACTTTCTTATTTTTTGGTAATACAAGATGTCCCAGGCTCATCTTGTATATTTCCTGCTGCAGTCCTAGAATCATCTATTTCTCCAAGGAGTCCTTGTGCCTTTTGTTGGAGAATGTATTAGAAGCTAAAATCTGGGTGCTAGGTTTGCTTTTTGCTACTAGGATATGTTTGTTCCCAGGCCCTCTTGACTGACAGCAAGAAAATATGTATGTACCTATCTATCTATCTATACACAGGCATGCATATGTAAGTATAAATATGCCATTTATAAATATTTCTATATATAATCATTCTATATATAACCATAAATCTATATTGAGCTAAACATGATACTCTTCAACTCTAATCTCTTACTGCATAAATTGTTTTAGCCTTCTCCCTACCTTATTTGCAAACTCCAACTCCAACAGTGAGAAACCTCACTCCCACCATCCATCTTTATTTTACTTAGTAGCTCAATTCCATTGTACATGTATAAAAGTATCAAAACTGTTAACTTTCTGTTATTTTCTCTGCCACTAAATAAAGATGTTTGGATTTCTCATAACTTTTAGTATTTAATGTTCTTATCCATTGATAATTTTCTCACATCTTTTTGCTTTACCACATTATTTTGTTTCCTCTGAAAAGCCCTCAAAATATTCTTTCTTCTCATTGATGTATAATTTCTCCAATTAATGTTTTAGTCTTATAGTATGTATATTAAACTGCTTCAATTCCTTTTTGAATATGTCCAGGTTACAAGGAATAATTTATTTAATTAACATTAGTCAAAGAGAAGTTATTAAGAGAACTTTAAAAAATCAGATCTGATATGGTTTGGCTCTGTGTCCCCAGCCAAATCTCATGTAGAATTGTAAACCCATGGGGAAGGGGAGTGGAAGGTAATTGAATCATAAGGGCGAACTTCACCCTTGCTATTCTCATGATAGTGTGTTCTCAGGAGATCTGCTTGTTTGAAACTGTGTGGCACTTCTCCCTTAGCTCTCTCCCTCCCTCTCTCTCTCTCTCCTGCTCTGCCATGGTAAGATGTGCTTACTTTCCCTTTGCCTTCTGCCATGATTGTAAGTTTCCTGAGGCCTCCCAGTCATGCTTCCTGTTAAGTTTGTGGAACTGTGAGTCAATTAAACTTCTTTTCTCCATAATTTACCCAATCTCACGTGTTTCTTTATAGCAGTATAAGAAAGGACTAATACAAGATCAATGATGAATTTTGAACTATTGGATGCTCTTAGGATTTAAATAGGTAAATTGTTATATTAAAGAAACAATATAATTCATATTCATCTTGAAATATACTTAAATTATTTTATGGCCTTCATTATATAAGATTTTACTTTATTATATTTTTTATTATGTATACTCTGGGTACAAACTTCTGTCTGCCAACAATAGAAAAATTAGCATCTTTGTCATTGAGAAGAGTAATAACCTCCATTACTGGATCCTAGACTGTATAAAGTTATGAACTACAATCTAATTTAATATATTTTTTCCTATGGAAATGGGGAACACAACATAGCTTTTGGAATACCTGAAAAAATATATCAGTACATAACTTTAGGGAAAACAGTAGAAATACAAAACATTTGTTGCATAATCTATGCAAAATACTAGAGAATCTATATTCTAGGTGTGATGAAGATGCTGTGCTATTGAAAAGAAAGCTGATAATGACAGTGAAATAACTGGACATTTCTCTAGAAATACATATTTATATGAGATGAGTATACGTATTACATATATTCATTTATTGATTTCCACCAATGTTACATACCAAATTATTTCCATATGTGAATTTCTATGTTCCTGTTTTTAAGGCATTTGTATGTAAATCATTGGTTCTCAAGACACTCAATATTTAGCAGCATCCTTATAATGTGATGGCCCTTCACACAAACAAAAAGGAATTGTCTAGCTCCAAATGTCAATAATGCTGAAATTGAAAACTCTGATCTACATAATGGTGTGCAATACTTATTTATCCTGTTGGAGATTGTAATTATATGCAGATATACATTTAATTAGAGCAGTAATTTCTGACACTAACAGAGTTAGAGTGAACTTCATAAGTTAAAGGCATTGTCCTCCACAAGACTGCCCTCACTTCAGACACCAGTCACAAGTTCCAGAGTCCTAGTGCCACCTGCACCTCGGGCCAATTGGCCACAAAACCTGATGTTTCCCTTACCCCACCTCAAAATTCACTAGAACAACTCACAGAACTCAGGCAGATTATCAAAATTTTTTTACAGCCCAAGCATATATATCAGAACCACTCAAAAGAAGAAACACATAGGGTGAGGTCTCGGAGGTTTTTCAAACATGAAGTTTCTATGTCCTCCCCTGTGAAGTCATTACACATTAATTTCCTGACATCTTGGTGTGATAACTGGTGGGATATTGGTGTGAAAACATACAGAATATTGCCAACCAGGGACGCTCACCTCACCTTTTATGTCCAGGGTTTTTATTGGGGTTTCATAACATAAGCATAATTTATTGAATCATTGATTACATGATCGAACTCAACCTTCAGCACCCTCTGTTCCCAGAGGTAAGGCTGGTATAAAGTGTAAAGTGTCTTAAAACCCCAACACTCTAATTACAGGTTGGTCTTTCTGTCATGGCCAGCCCCCGTACTGAATCATCTCTTTAGCATAAACTGTCAGGGCTCACCGTGAATAATAATGACACTCCTATCATATGAGAAATTCCAAGGATTTAAAGGCCACTTCCCAAGAACCAAGGACAAAGGCCAAATTTTTTATTGCACAGTAATTGGCTTTCTAGGTAGATGTAGCTACCATGGTAAAATAACATTGTTATAATCTGGATATTTATCAAATATGCTTTATAACACTGAACTTTACAAATACAGACAGGAAACAGTCAATTAAATGCATTAAAAATCGCATAAAAATCTAATAGGAAAAATAAACAATCTAATAACTTCAATTTAGAAGAAAGAATGAGTGGGGAATGGAACAAAAAATACATTAATTTTAATATTAACCTGGAACTTTTTATCTCAGGTTAAAATGAGGTAAAAAATGAAGTACCTTAAATGTAATTTAGATAACTTAGATTTGTTAGAATAATATTTTTCTGATGGTAGGTACAGATTATTGAAATTAAAATTTGAGGTAAATGATTTTGAAAGCCACATAAACATATTTTAGAGCACATATAAATGCAATAAAAGGGCATTTTAAAAATGTACAAAATGAAAGATATAGAACGAACCAAGGGGTTAGTAAATTCTCTTTACCAAACATCAGGGTGTATAAAACTCAGGTATTAACAGTGAATATACACAGATTATGGAGAAGTATATTTGCTCAAGTACACAAAGATAAAGGAAAAACAGCATACCTAACTCCAGAGAGCTTATTTGGATTAACGTAAAATGGATGAGACATTTATCAAAATAATGTAAATAGAAGGTAGAATGAAAGGCAGCTTCAGAGAGATGCATGCAAAAATTGTGTGAGAGCAGAAAGCAGCAAGAGAATAAATTATAAATAAACAGAACCTTAAATAACATACTTCTGATGAAGGCTTACTGAAAACTACTAGGATAACAAATCAAACAACTTCCTAAGAAAAAGGCCATTAAGGCAAGAAGATGGTTCTATCATATCTGGAAAACATTATATCTTAAAGTGCCATATTCAGTTGCCCAAGATTTTGAGAAACAATACTTTTCTTTCATAACTATGGTTACAAAATACGTGGGGGCTTTTGTTAAAGTTGAAAGAGGAAGATAAATATATCCTTGGGCATAGTGCTGAAAGATATGAAAAGAAAAGTAGATCTAGCTTTTAAAGGAAGAAGAAAATAGGTAACATGATTAATGAAAAAAATAACAAAAATGTTTATTATTTTTGATTTTTAAAATTCTTATTAGTTTGTTTAACAGAGGGAAATAGTAATGTATTTTAAAAATAAAATATTTATACTTATTTTAAGAGTACATTAAATGATGGTTCTAGTATGATCCAGTTTGAATACTTCAAAAGTAAATGTCTCAAGCATCTTTTGACCTTCTGATCCTAGGAATTTAACCACCATGAGTTTTCTTCATAGCCATCAAATATTTTATGGCCTATACACAGAGAAGTGTGAGAATTCTTTGAGAAAATATGATACACTACTCTTCACAAAAGAGTAATGTATTTTCCCAAAGAACTCTCAATCGTGGGTGACATGATTCATGAAATTTTTTGATATATTGTACATCACTGACTTCTAGTTTGATTCACAGGTATAATGCAAAAGAAAAACAGTCATAATTTGTTGCTTTATGGCTTATAGTTTAATTACAATTGGACTTACTTTTATACGGATTTCTTAAAGTATTATTACAACATGGTAGTTAATAGATTAAAAGATGTTATGCAAATAGATCTACAAATCCTAGTTTGCATTTGCTATTTTATTAAAATTTAATAAATATTGTCTTAGCTTTGGTTCCCATAAGCCAAGCGCAGCCTGTAATGAACTGAGCACTACACTGAACCCTGCACTACCTTTACCCAGACACTTACTATCTGTACCATATCCTGGGACTGAGAGCATACCTCTCTCCAAATGTATGAAAAAAAATTATCATTATTAAGGCTTTGCAGAATTACTCTCTGCTGCCATTTAAAAAAATGCCATATTCTGTACA
This sequence comes from Homo sapiens, assembly GCF_000001405.40. NCBI lineage: Eukaryota > Metazoa > Chordata > Mammalia > Primates > Hominidae > Homo > Homo sapiens. The sequence goes on along the minus strand of NC_000002.12, from coordinate 194,933,214 downwards.
TTCGAATAAGTTCACCTACCATAAGGATATCTAAAGCAATTTGAAGCAATTGCTAATGATAAAAATGTTATGTGGAGAAATAATGTAGCAATCCTTAACACATATTAAGATAATTTCAGAGATGGCCTTTTGATAAAAGACAAGTAAATTTTATCACAAATATGGATAAGGTAACAAATGAAATGGATAGCCCAGAGCTTCCTATGAGTAGGATTAAGTAGAGTATCAGAGAGTTGGGAAAGACTAGGGAAAATCTAGTATTACTATTCCCTTATCTGATTATTGACTAGTCCTATTAAACTCTATTTAGCTCTATAGGAATGCTGGAGTTAAAGAGGACCTTAGAAGTCATCCTAATACAAACCTCACTTCCCAGATCAGTGCCTGTCAAAGATAATTATTTAAAAGGCATTTGTTCAATGAACAAATGAATGAGGTAACAGAGACATCAAGAATCTAAGTAAATGTAGCAGAATTTTATGGCTGGTTACTAAGCAAATCAGAATCCATATCTTCTGAACTTAATTTAGTATTTTTTCAATCACATAATTCTTTCTTGACTTCATAGTAAATCTCATAGTAATTGGTGGTGGACATACATCTGTTGAATTATTAACTGAAAATGTAGTTTTAGAACTACTATCTTTGAGATGAAGAAATTCAACTTTGTTGTTTCCAGTATTTTATTATTTTAACAAATAATCAAATATAATTGCATACACTCATTTTGGCATAGTATTAAAAATTATAGATAATTGTAATTTTTATTGCTGTTCATCTACCATTTTGTAATATTCCCCAACAAACTCATACCAAATTCAAAATTTAGGTAACATTAGGTAAGAATAAAAAACTTTGATATTTATTGTTATATAACATGACCATTGTAATGATTTAGTAAAAAAGAGAGTGCTAAAAGCATTACTTGTAGGAATATCAATAATATATAACAATAATAAGTAATTTACATTTATTTTGATCTTCATAATTTCTGAAGTCTTTCCTATACATCTTCACATTTAAATTAAAAACTAATCAAAGTATGATTTTTCTCATAGAAGCTTTTTTTGTTTTATTTATTTATTTATTTATTTTTGAAACAGAGTCTCACTCTGTTGCTCATACTGGAGTGCAGTGGCCTGATCTCATCTCATTGCAATCCCTGCCTCCCGGGTTCAAGTGATTCTCTGGCCTCAGCCTTCTGAGTAGCCGGGATAACAGGCATGTGCCACCACGCTTGGCTAATTTTCTTGTATTTTTAGTAGAGATGGAGTTTCACCATGTTGACCAGGCTGGTCTCAAACTCCTGACCTCAAATGATCCCCCCGCCTCGGCCTCCCAAAGTGCTGGGATTACAGGCGTAGCCATCCTGCCTGGTCTCATAGAAGCTTTTAAAGTGGTAGGCTTAGTGGTTGTAAAAAGACTAAGTCATAAAATGCTGTTGGCCTGGTGCCATTGATAGTATAAAATTTTGCAGATTAATAATACTAATATTAATTTGTTCGCCTTGGTGCTACCATATTTTGTGAATTTATGATTGAATGTCTTTATCAATTTATATTTAACTCAATTCAGGGTTAAATAGACGACTTTACCTATATGAATACATTATGGCTCAGCCATTGTAAAACAAAAAGATATCATATGTGTTACTTTTATTCAGTTCACAAAGTACAGCTTTTTCTTCTTACTTTTTAGAATTACTATTTGGTTTTTTAGAATGATTTGTTGAAGCCTTCTAGGGAATTAAATTATATTGCAACTATTGCAGAAGAAGATGTCTGAAATTGCTCAAAACTACGAATAATGGGAACCTCTTCTTAGTAACTTTTAAGTTTCGTTATTGTTCTATTCTATTGGTTTTATTAAAGTCTTTTGGGAAATCCAATTTGGAGTCCAGACTTGCTCTTCCTAACTCTACCTCTTTCAATCACTCCATATTCCTCCAGGCTATTGTGCCTCTGGACTCAAAAGTGGAATCATTAGAATTTGGCTGCTGACATTAAGAACCAAGGTTGTTGCAGACCATGAGTGCAATTGATGTTTAATTCCTGTTACTCACTATTACGTCTGTGCTCAGTAAAGAATTTTCCTTTCGGCTGGGCGCGGTGGCTCACGCCTGTAATCCCAACACTTTGCGAGGTCAAGGTGGGCGGATCACGAGGTCAAGAGTTTGAGACCAGCCTGGCCAACATGGTGAAACCCGTCTGCACTAAAAATACAAATAATTAGCTGGGCATGGTGGTGGGCGTCTGTAATCCCAGCTACTCGGGAGGCTGAGGCAGGAGAATCGCTTGAATCTCGAAGGTGGAGGTTGCAGTGAGCTGAGATCGCGCCGTTGCACTCCAGCCTGGGCGACAGGGCAAGACTCTGTCTCAAAAAAAGAGCAAAAAGAATTTTCCTTTAAAATCTTATTATTCACTATACTTAAAAATAACAATAAACATATAAATTATCAATTAGAAAAACCTAAACCACATAGCTAATTAATACCACCCTCAAGTTGTTGGGAGAGATTTTGTTTTGATCGTCTACTTCTGGAGCAATTCACAGATGTTAATAGAGATAGTCATACATTTTAATTTTTTTTCCGGAGAGAGATAACCATACTGAATTCGCTGTACCAATTCTGAAGGTAAACATAAGCCATTTCTCCACTGAAGAAATAAGAACAACCACTTCCAAGATTTTTCTCTCAGCAGTTCTTTACTCCAGGACTTAATTCATATAGAAAGCTGTATAATTATTAGTGAGTCTCCAATCTGCTTTAAGTATCCCTAATTTTACTTTTCTTTTCAATATATGTTTGTGAATTAAAAAGATATTACCCAGAACTATTTTATTCGTATTTGTGAATTTTGTTCACAAAGAGAATTCCTATTAGTGGAATTTTTTTTTTTTTTTTCGGAATCTTGCTCTATCACCCAGGCTGGAGTGCAGTGGGGCGATCTCAGCTCACTGCAACCTCCACCTCCCAGGTTCAAGTGATTCTCCTGTCTCAGCCTACCGAGTAGCTAGGATTACAGGCACGCGCCACTACACCCGACTAATTTTTTTTTTTTTGTATTTTTTTTTTTGCAATGGGGTTTCACCATATTGGCTAGGCTGGTCTCAAACTCCTGACCTCAAGTGATCCACCCACCTCGGCCTCCCAAAGTGCTGGAATTACAGGCGTTAGCCGCTGTGCCTGGCCCCTATTTGTAGATTTTGTTCACAAAGAGAATTCAACTTAATTTGGCCAAAATATACAAAAACCACTCAACTTTCTCTACTTCTACTGAAAGAAAAAAGATCCTGGAGATGAAGGTGAATTTAGCATGTACTGTGATGCAAAAGTAAAATGATCCAAAACAAAACAAAACACTAATGTTTCGTATGATTGATGCATTGTCATTCAAAATTTGGTACTAGCTAGATTTATAAGCACTGCAATTTTATTTGACAGATAATTTTTGAAACTAGAATGCATGTACAAAAATTTTGATTGGTATTCCTCTTTAGCAGAAATGATTTTGTTACCACCTTTAACAGAATCTCATTACTGAATGTCTTTAGGGAAGGAGTAGCACAGATATGAATAAAATGAAGAAAATAGGAACACTTTTAAAAAGTAATACAAGGAGTGGATGTTAAAGGTGTATCACTTTTATTCTATTAAAACGTTATTTTTGGGGTATCTAAAACATTTATAACATGCACATTTACATTCCTTTTTGATAAAATATTAAACAGGTTATTTCATTCAAGTGATTAAATTATATGCATCAAATTGTCATACTAATTTTAGAGAAAAAAAGCAGTGCTAGAGATACAAAAAACTTTACTAAGATTATGAGCATTTATTAAAGAATGTATAACAGTTATCTAAAAGTAAAAGACGCCAGGCGTGGTTGCTCATGCCTGTAATCCCAGCACTTTGGGAGGCTGAGGTGAGAGAATTGCTTACGCCCAGGAGTTTGAGACCAGCCTAGATAAAATAGTGAATCTCCATATCTACAAAAAATAAAAATAAAAAAGTTAGCCAGATGTGGCCTATAGTCTCAGCTACTCAGGAGGCTGAGTTGGGAGGATTGCTTGAGCCTAGGAGGTCAAGGCTGTAATGAGCCATGATCATGCCATTGTGCTCCAGCCTGGGTGATGGAACCAGAGCTTGTCTTAAAATAAATAAATAAAAAGTAAAAATAAATAAATTTAAAAAGACCGATTTGATGATGAATAATTTGCAATGCTTTACTGAATATTTAAAAGTTAGGTTTAAATGTTGGGTACTATATTAAACAATAAAAATTACTGTAATAAAGTAACCTTACTGAGAACCTAGTAGTAGTGTTTATTTATAACAAATTATATGTTGTGTAATTACAGAGCTGTGTGGAGTTACTGGTTTATGCACAATTAATTAAGTACTGGTTGCTTCATAAAATAAATATCCAATTCAAAAATGACCAAAACAGGTAATAATGATAAACATATAATATGTAAATCTCTCCAAATCAACAGAAAATTTTATGCAGCTTGTGCAAGACTTAATATTTTCCTGGAGTATTTAGAGAAAAATGTAATATAGATTAGTAATGCCTTTCAAACTCTGTGTCACATAAAATGAATATTTATAATTAGGACACAGAGAAATCCAAGGTTAAAATGTGCTTCAAAAAAGTTAAAAAATCAATTTTTAATGTTTTGTTGGTAGGCAACATACAAAGCATAGATATAGAAATACGAGACTTTTCGTTCAGCTTATGTTGTAAAATGTCTTAAATGCATTAAATGTAGCACACATGCACAAGCAAATAATAATGTTACAATTAAATAAAACAAATTATATCAAGAGAAGAATATGTGACATGTGTCCAACAAATTATTATAAAAACAGATTACTGAATTGAAATTTACATATTATTAAATGAAAAAGCATTGTGCTGCAATTCTGCAAATATAGAGAGTGAAATGTAATCATCAGAGAGTAACTGAGTAGTATAGTCTCATTTTTATTGTTGTCTTTTTGAAATAGGAATAGTATTGTCTAAGGAACACTGGCCCCCATAAGTAGTAAAGCCCAACATTTCAGTGATTCAGCACAATAGATTTAGCACATTTCTCGCACATGTAACTGCACAATGTGGGTGTTCCTAGTCAGTGTCAGTTTCCATCTTATGATCTGCCCACCCGCTAGGGCCTCCGGGTCCTCTGAAGGTGAAAAGTAAAGGGAAGAACATATAGTGGGAAGCCATGCCTGCTTCTTAATTCACTCAGCCTACAAACAATATATAACTCACTTTCTCTCGCATGACTTTGGTGAGGATTTGAAACTGTACCCCTAGGATTGGCAGCTGCTTCCCAACGAGTACTCAGTAATGCCGGATATTTGTTTCCCCACAAAATTCATGTATTGAGATCTAATACCCAGTTGATGCTATTAGTAGGTGTGGCCTTTGGGAGGTGGGTAGGTCATGAGGGTAGAGCCCTTATAAATACGATTTGTGCCTTTATAAAAGGGGCACCAGAGAGCTGCCTTACCGCTTCCATCCTGTGAGAACACAGTGAGAAGGCACCATCTGTAAAACAGGAAACTGGCCCTCACAACGCGACAGTGAATCCACAGGTGCCTTGATCTTGATCTTCCAGTCTTCGGAACTTGAGAAATAATTTTCTGTTGTTTATAAACTACTCAGTTAATGGTGCTTTGTACTAGCAGCCCAAAAAGATCAAGGCACTGATCTATGGCAGGGGAAGTACAAGTTTTGGTGGATAGTTGGTCATCTCTGCCACTAGAATGAAATACAGCTATGTTTATTTTCTATTTGGAGGTAATTAGGATTAAAATTTCAAACCAGGTTTTTAAGGAAAAGCTAGAGGTAGTTATTCATTCATTCAACACACACACACATGCACACATTTTACACACAAACACACACAGATATCCGATTATGTGCCTCTGGTGTTAGGGTTGGAATTCAGGCCTGGAATTAGCCAGAACTGATCCATTGAAATGAGAAATGCACCTGCATGACTCTAATCCCTAGGCTTGGAGTCAAATGTGCTGAAAGTAGTGTTGCTTTATGAGCATGGATCTCAGGAGTTTCAAGGCAGTTTGTACCAGCTTATCAGCATTGTTTATTGCTAACAATGAGGCTGATGATTTGCACTTGGTTTCTGTGTGACATCCAGAGGGCTGTGCCGTTGGGAATGGTTAACATAGTAAGAATATGCCTAAGTGCCCAGCATGATATAAGAAACCCCTACATAGACTCCCTTTTGAGCTTCCTGGTTCTGAGAAATTCTATACATACATCAGTGTAATGAAACATTGATCCATTGGGATTTTAATAGACAATTTGAAAAAAACAATTTCTCTGAACAGATAAATTTGTCAAATGCTGACGTTTTAAAATGTAATTTGTTGCTATAACTTTGTTTGAAGATTTTCTTTTAATACATAGGTGGGCAGACATTACTTCTTATTTAATGTTAAAACACTTAACTATAAAACACCTGTACCTTAGAATATGTATTTATAACTTGAGATATTGATATTCTACTAAATATTATTTATGGAGTGCTGGTCATTGTTTTTCCCCAACATTATATTAAATTCACTACATAATGAGAGATTATATATATTACCTTATTTGTAGTTAACATGTTCATGTTCTTATGGCACATTATTTGAAAACCCTAGGTATATTTTGAATAGCATCAGTGTTGTTAGAAGTTATCCAGATCCTCCTCTTCCAGGAGGTATTTAAGGATGTCTTTTCTTTTCAATTGTTGAACCATCTGTTTTGCTTAATAGTTCCTGTGGTAGGTGCTCAACATAGAATGTTAAAATCCAGAATGCATTTGAATGCGTTGTTCAATATGAATAAACCTTCACCTCTTTCTTATATAGAATGAGTATAATTTTAGTTAATAATATCAAAATGACTCCTTAAGAGGGGGGCTGTGAATATATCCAAACTTACTCACCTGTTTCTGGGTCTCTATATTTAATCTATCCATGTATTTTCAATCCTTCTACATAAAAAAATGGGAGAAAAGGGTATCTTTATTGCTTTGCTGAATTTATCAAATGTGGCCATGAGTTGAAGTTTTGTTCTGCTATAGCTTATTTCATGGGCTTTATATCTTATTCTAGGAAAATTTTAGTAAAATTCTGTAATATATTAGATTATCTGTATGCCCAATCTTCCTTGAGTACTCTCTGCTCATTTTTCAATAGGATCAGATTCCCTGAAGCTATGTTTCTGTAGGATGACCTCATCTCTTCTGCCTGTAACTAGTTGTCTAACACAAAAACTAGACAGTTATTGATTATCCTATTATGTTTTGTTATATAGAGAAGGTGAAAGGCCAAAGGTCAGACTGGTGGAGGAAGAGAGAGAAAATATAAGAAGAGCAAATCCAGGAGCCGTGCAGCGGCCTCTCGAACAAATAATTATTTTATACTGTGACCAGCCATACGACAATCACTGAGAGCTATAAATTTTAATCAGTAGTCACAACCTAGTTTGGGGTCTTTCTAGAACAGGGATTAAAATTCAGATGCATACTCACTGATTGAGTACCTTTGCGTTATTAAAATGTAACTTTCTAAAACATAAATTTTAGCTAAACATAGAACTTGTTTGGAAACAAAATAAAATCAAATTTACAAAGTAGTGTTGGCAATACTCTATAATTCTATTATAGAATATATTGTTAGCTTAGTTATGTTCTTTAAAACTCACATTATGAAATAAAATTAACCATTGCTGAAAATTTCATAAGAAATATGAAACTACTTTTTTATGCTTATTAAATATTAGGCGATGGCCATTTATAAAGTAGGAATACCTCATATTAAGCCAATAATTATGAATGACAGTGGAAGCGTAATTGACATTAATTTCTGACTTTGTTAATAATTCTCTTCCCATAATAATATAGGAGTTAAAAAGAAATTATTTTAGGCAGTTAGTGAGGGTAAAAGAATTCTCAGTGGAATTTTCCTTCAATAAAAAGCAGCCCCCAAACCATTTCTTTTCTAACAAAGAACAGCCTGAAAAATCGAGCTGCAAGCAAGCATAGATAAGCAAGCTGGAAGCTTGCATGTGTAAATGACAGCAGCTGTACCTGGAAGCCAGGTACATTTCAACATGGGATTCCTCCCTCCCTTTTCTTTGTAGCCAGTGTAGGGGTGTTATGGTGCCATCCAGGTAGAGACCACATATGCATAAAAAAGATTAGGGTGAAACCAATCCCCTGGGCCCCATTTAAATCAATCACTGCCTCCTCAAGCCTCTCTACAAAATCAATCGCATCCCTCCCCAAATCTGGAAACCCTCTTGGGCACCCCGCTTTCTCTGTATGAGAAAGCTGTCTCTCTCTCTCTTTTATTTATTTATTTTTGTCTGTTAAACCTTCTGCTCCTTAACCTGCTCTGTGTCTTTATGTCTATGTCATTAATCTTTTTGGCGTGAGATGACGAACCTTGGATATTACCCCAGACAATAAAGTCACATCAATAATGTTTCCATCTTATATACCTAGTTAGTTTTTAAGCTTTGGTGGGATAGCAGTTTGAGAGTGAAGTTCTAAATTTTCTGAGATGTATAAATGCTTAGGAAATTCAGTGTTTATGGAAGACAATTTTTTTTTCATCCATTTGACAAGAATCAAATGTTCATTTTGTGTTCGTAACAAACATCTTCTCATATCATGCAACTTGATGTTCAGTAAGTAAAATATGATTATGCTTCATTTCAGAAACAAGAAAGATTTTACATGATGTTGACTAATTAGATTGGAAAAATGCAATATGTATATATTGGAGGCAAATATATGTTCATTTTTTATTATTTTTCTCTCCCTTCCTATCTTGCTTTCAGTAAGATGTTTTAATTAGCCATTGCTGATGTGCAGTACCTATCTGATATAATCTCTTGATACGAAAAGGTCAGGCCTAAATGTAGAAGTGGGTGAACCTAACGTGAATCTCATTCTAAAAATGTCAAGAGATGTTTCTGAAGTGCTTATAATTGTCCTTCCACATATTTTCCCTGTTAAAGATTTATTGCTATTATATAGAACCACCACAGCAAAATGTGGCAGCATTATGGCAAAAAGCTCAAAAACTAATGATCAAAGAAAGCTCCTATCCTTTGGCAACTTTAAAATCACATATGCTAGGAAACAACACTTTCATACCTTAGATAATTATTACTTGTTTTTGTATTGTTCCCTGTTTAAACTACTGTTTATTTTGAATTGGAGGATGAATGAAAAGCCAGTTTATTCCCTTAATCTTTCTTAATGCTATTACCTACAAAATCATGCAGTTAGGAGGAATCTCCAATATCCACCTCTTCAATTCATTATAATTCACATTCTTTCAGTTCAGTATGGTTTGGTTTAAAGAAGTTCAGTTTCCCAGTAACATATTAGAAGCCATGTGGAAATGAACAATGAGTAAATTGAATACAATGTAGAAAAATATTCCTGATATTGTATTTCAACTACATGGAGTGGACATTGATTTTTGCAGTCCAGCTTCTATGACCCTTGTCCTAGTAACTGTACACATTTTTCCCTTCAGAAGATCATACATTCCTCCCACTTGTCTCAAGTGTTGCCAGTGGCAGTTACTGCACATAGACCAAATCCACACAGTATATTACATTGTTTAGGTGACTATGTTGGGATTAGGGATGGCCACCTAAGTCATAGGGAGCAATGAAACAAAATGAGTTTGGTTCCAAATGAGGGGAAATAATCTCACTATTTCTGGTTGACTCTGAACCTAGGCACTTTTGACAGCCCTCTTAAAATCTGTTTAAGAATGACATCACATAGGGAAATGAAGTAGATAGAGAGAGAAACCAGCTTCCCATGACAGTTTGAGTTCTGAGTTGAGGTCAAGGTTTTAGACCTGAGGTTTTTAGATAAATGTATTCCAAGGTCTGGAATGTTCACTTCACTGCTTAAACCAGTTTGAGTTGGGTTTCTGTTATTCACATTGCGAAGTATTTTAAAGAATGTGCCAGATACAAAGATATCGAAATAATGTATAGAAAAAAGTAAATATTAAGAAAGATGAATAAGTACTTTTTCCTTGAATAACAAAAATTTTCAGCTTAACCATTTATCTTTCTTATAATCAATGTAGAGTTGAGTCTCATTTTTTTTTTAAATCTACGTTGGCAGTCTGTATCTTTTAATTGGTATATTCATATTATTCGCATTTAAAGTGATTATGTAGTTGGATTTATTTCTACCATATTTATAACTGTAAATCAGGTAAAAGGAACTAAGGTGTGTGAGCCTTTAGTGTAATATTTATGTTTATCTGGTTAGGATTTAGGCTTTATTTGTTGTTAGTTGTGGCTGTGATGTAAGAGCCTAAAATTTCCTATTTTTTCTTTGTTTCTGGCTCTCCTGTTATCTTAGTCCTGTGTTGTTATACTGGAGCCCTCTTGATGTGTTGATATGATATGGAAATGAGAAGTTCTATATATATTGCTCTATTATTGACATTAGGTGTTAGTTTCCTTTTCCCCCATTGAATTTGTTATATATATAATAGTTCAGTCCACATTGTCACAAATGACAGGATTTCCTTCTTTTTCAAGGCTTAATGGTATTCCATTGTGCACATATACCACAGTTTCTTTATTAGGTTGATTCCATATTTGGCTATTGTGAATTTAATTCTGCAATAAACACAGGAGTGCAGATGTCTCTTCAATATATGGTAAGCCCTCACTGAATGTTGTTGAGATATTTTTGGAAATTGCAACTTTAAAGAAAACAACATATAACAAAACCAATTTTACCCTGAGCTAATTGATATAAATGAGTTAAGTTTCTATGGCATATTTCTGGCCATATAAAAAACCCCAAACTTCTAAATAAAAACCCCAAACACTTTTAATATTAAACATTGAAATAAATGTAAGCTATATATACATTTAAAAATATTAATGAAAACATGTTAGGTGATTATTTACCCAATTACTCCAGTTCAGGGTAGCTGGTGGCCAGAGCCTATCCCAACAGCTCGGGGCAGAAGGTGGGAGTCAACTCCAGAGAGGACATTGTCCCATCACAGGGCACACACACACAGCCACACTCACTCACACTAGGACCATTTAGACACACTAATGAACATAATATTCACATCTTGGGATGTGGGAGTGAATCAGAATCCCTGGAAAAAACTCAGGCAGACATGGGAAGAATGTGCAAACTCCACACAGACAGTGTCCCCTTTCTAATAAAATAAAGTTGAACAAAATCATGTTATTTGAGGATTTGCTGTACTAAATTTTTTTTTCTTTTGGATATATGCCTAGAAGTGGGATTGCTGGATCATATGGTAGTTCTATTTTTAATTTTTGAGGAACTTCCATACTGTTTTTCATATCATACTGATTTACATTCCCACCAACAGTGTGTAAGGGTTCCCTTTTCTCCACATCCCTGCCAACACTTATTTTTTTATCTTTTTGATAATGACCATTCTAACATGAGTGAGATGATAGCTCATTGTGGTTCTGATTTGCATTTCTCTGATGACTAGTTGGTGTCAGTTATTAAGTGAACTTGAGTTGGATATTTTTCTTTCCCCAGGTTAATCTTTGGTAAAACCCCATTGGGTTAGCCTCTAGTTAAAAACAAAACAAAACAAAACAAAACAAAACAAAACAAAACAATCCCTTAGGGCAAGCCCTTTTAAGAGCAAAGAACCCTGGGTAAATTTTGTTAACTTAAAAAATCACATATTTTATAAATTTGGAAAGGAGACTTTATTTCTAACAAAGGGTTATAGCCTGAGGGCTGGCAGTCCTAAAAGGCTGAAAAGCATAGCCTCTGGCAGACTGTTAGGCACGCACTTTGAGGGAGAAGGGGGGTAAAATAGAAATTTAAGCTGAACAGGTTGGTCAAGTATACCATATCCAACATGTTACAGAAAGAGCTATGAATATTCATGAAGGCGGTCCTGATGCATGAGTACTGAACTAACGCATGTAATATACGACCATGTTCACTTTAGGGGGATGACTTAATATTTAAATGTCACAATTAGGCCCTCTACATCAAAAGGTGAAGCAGGGACAGGAAGGCATTTTGGCCTCTTTACGTAAACTGGCCAAATCCATGGTTTTCCATATCTGCCTGTCTGTATCACTAGTTTTGGAGTCAGAAGTTTGCTCTGTAACCTCAGTTCTCTGATGGGTCTAAAAAGATTTGTTAATTCCATTCGTTCAGTGGTTTTCTTTTGAGTAGAGAGTTACTGCAATTAGTCCCTTGTCCTGTCAAAGCTGTATTAGTATTTGTAAAAATTGCAATTATTTTTGCAACAACCTAATAGTTATGGCTTGCAGAAGAGGGGGGTCAGTTAGCCAGCATCCGGTGGTGAGCCACAATTGTTTTAAGATTGCTTTTCTCAAGGCCAGTGCTTGTATGGCTGCAAGAGAAAAAGAAAAACCTTGTGGCAGTTAGAACTTAGTTTATCCCTTAAGTGTAGGGATGGGTGACATAACCCTTGCCTGTCATGGCCTTGGATCTTGTTTATACTTCACTATCTTTATTGTGACAAAGAGTTTGTGCTGTCAGTATTGCTATCTCTATTTTAATATTAATGCCGGTCAGTTGTGTCTAAACTACAAAAGGGAAGGGTTATAACGAGGCGTGTGAGACTTTCCATTTTATTATGTCTAGAAACTCAGTTTTCAAGATTTCTCTGGGGTTCTCTTGGCCAAGGGGGTTTTGATCAGTGGTTAGGTGACTGAGGATTTTATTTTTTAGTTTACAATTTCAAAATAATTACTTTCCCTCTATTCCTGCCAGAGTATGAGGGGATTTTTCTTCAGTCTTCACAGTGAGAGCCTGGCAAGATTCCTGGAGGTAAAACTCACATGAGTGTGCCCCCTCCACTCCAATACTGAGGCTTTTTCAGAGTATTTTAACTCTCAAGTTAGTCTAACCTGAATCTAGAGCAATTCGTCAATGATAACTTAAAGTGATCCCACTGATATTAGCTCCAGCTGCAGGCTACCGCTCCTGGGCTTTTCATCCTAGAAATCTGTGCTTTTCCGTATCTACCTGTCTATATCACCAATTTTGGAGTCAGAAGTTTGCTCTATAACCTCAGTTTTCTGATGGGTCTAAGAACAGTTATTGATTCAGTTTGTTCACCTTTTATCTTGTGAGACGGGAGGGACAACTTCGAAGTTCTTTACCTCTTAGACCAGAAACCAGAAGTTCTCAACCACTTATCTTTACAATATATAAATTTCTCCTAATTATTTTCAGAAACTAAGAAGGAGAAATTATCAAACTTGTCATAAAAAATCTCCATGAAAGATTATGTTATTCAAAGAAGCTTTGATTTGTATGAGTCTTGAAGGTAATTTAAATCCAGATTCATCAAACATTATCCAGGAAATGTGAGAGATATTTTCACATATATTTTGTTGTCTAAATTTTGTGCTACTAATATGAGGCTGCATAGAGCATAAAATAATAGATTCCAGGGTCAGATTTACTGAGTTGCAATCCCAGCTCCAGTAGTTAGTACAAGGGTGGCCTTTGGCAAGTTACTTAGCTTCTCTCTATCTCAGTGTTTTCATCTGTGGAAACAGGAAGAGTAGTAACTGTTATGAGAATTAAATGATAGTGTTGTCATTATTATTAAAATTTAATGTCTCTTAATTTTTGCTTTGTTTCTACCATCTTACAATTCATTTTTTGTTAGTTCAAATATTTTCTTTTTGAAGTTTTTGAAGGTTTTGCCACTCTGGAAGCAGCTCAATATATTTCTTCTGATTCCAAACAATACGAAAACATAATTTAAATAACAGCCAGCAATAAAGTAGATTCAAAATACACACTACAAGTGAAATTTTAGTCTAATATACAAAAATTTTACCAATTTTTTATAAAAGGGTATCCAAGAAAAAAATTTCCTGTATTGGTAGAGAAAGTTGTTTTGATATCATAGTAATGATATGGTCATTGCATATCATATTTAGTAGAGTTTTTGTGGCTTTACAGCAGATCAGACATTTTTAAAAGTCATAAATTAGCATGCCAGTGACTATTCATTGTTGTCAAACAGGATCAATGCTACATTGATAAGCAGACAATCCATTGGCCATCACACCAAAGGAGTTGAATTAATCAGCAGCTCTTGGTGTAAAATTCTGATGAACAGCAAAATCAGTGGATATTTCTAAAGAAAACTAGTTTATTAAGTGTACAGGTACATTTTAAAAATGTCTTTATTGATCCTTACATTATATAACATAAAATTTATCAGTTTATGTAATAAAAATTTCAGTGAGTCCAAAGTGGTATTTTCATGATAAATAAAGAAAACTTTATTAGTTTCAAAATCAAGCTATTGCCAAAAAAGGAAGGAGGTAGAGATACCCTGTTAAAATAATCCTTCAAGGTAAGTGTGTTGTGTTGTTGAGATAGAGAGAGAGAGAGAGAGAGAGAGATACTGGGAAACTGTGTGAATGTGTGTTTTCCATTAGCTGATTCATAAGTGAAGTGATTGTGTTTCAGTATCTTAAAATTATATTTCAATATCTTAAAACACCACAATTATCTAAAATTTTCTCCAGTCATCCTCTATTTTATAGAAGAGAGAAAATATAATTCTTTTGCTGCAACCTCTGCCTCCTGGGTTCAAGTTATTCTCATGGTCTGCCTCCCGAGTAGCTGGGACTACAGGCACATACCACCATGCCCAGCTAATTTTTGTATTTTTAGTAGAGATGGGGTTTTACCATGTTAGCCAGACTCGTCTTGAACTCCTAACCTCAAGTGATTTGCCTGCCTCAGCCTCCCAAAGTGTGGGATTACAGGCATTGAGCCACCGCACCTGGTCTGTAATTCATTTTTAGTGTGTGATTTATATTCGTTCTTTCAATGTATTTTCACAACAGACAGTAAGTATTGTTAGTCACATTTTAAAAACTAGGAGATTGAGCTTCATGGATTTCAAGTTTATACAACTAGTAAATGACAAACCAGATATAAAATTCATATCATATTACTTAAAATTTCTTGTTATTTCTACCACATTACAGTGCCTGATGCAAAGCATCATATAATGTCATGGTTCTAAGAACTTTTTAAGATCATCTGGTCCAAGATCTCAGCCGGGTAGTCTTTTATTCCAACTATTGTCAAAGTAACCCTGATGTCCAGATATGGCTATCTCTGGAGAAATATCACTCATAAAGCAAGACAAAGAAAACAGTGTGTGCCAGGTTTATTGTTTTTTTCCATATACAGTGAAGGGCATCAGCTGTGTTTTCCACTAGGTTATATAATTTTCCACCTGACAGAAAAGTCTCACAGTAGGTAATATTGTTCAGGTTTTTTTTTTTGGAGGCAAGGGAAAAGAGTAATTAAAATAAGGCAATTCTAAAACTCTAGTGTAAAAATACTTTTTTTTCCTTTTGTCAAAACATCTTATAGACTTTGTAACTTCAGAAATGCTTACCTAAGCAAAAAGAGAACATCATAAGGCAAACTGCTACAAAACTAACCAAGAAGTAAATACTAATATGTAGAGTAATGTAGTAAAATGAATTCTTTGTTAGCATACTCAGCTCTCTTTTTCCCCTCTTTTATGCAGTTCTTAAAATCCCACATTCTCCACTAATTCTTTTCTAAATTCAAAGATGATAAAACACATCCTACTTAGCTGTCAAATTATGATTTCTTCTTGCCTACTATATTCCACCAACCTCTCTCTTAACAGCTATAAAGTGTAAATGTAATCATATTTTTAATGTTTACCCATTCATTATTTATTTGTTTTTTATTCATTTGGGGTCTGTCAGTGGTGCTTGTTTTATATTCTAACATTTTAAAGATGGTGAACGTTTCTGTGTTAAGAGTTTTGAAACTTATCCTGTAATGGCTAGACACAATAAATTATTCATGCAGACTGTGGACAAGAAACAGAGTCCAGGGAAGGGCTCAAGCTTGGGCTTTTATGGCAACTCTTTAAGCAGACAAAGGCAGATGGATGTTTGATTCTCATAGTATAACAAGTACTTATACTGCTTATCAGAAAGTGGGCACTAGAACTAAGATCACTGCTAAAAAGCAAGAATGGTAGTGGTAGGGCTGGGGGCAATAAACAAACAAAGAAGCAAATCAAACTCTTATGGCATTGACTGAACAATGTCCCATATAAAGTTGTATACCTTAGAGGAGGCTAGTGACAAGGTCCTGTTATCTATCCTCAATGTCATTGTAGGTTTGGAATTTACATATAAGACCTAGTTTTAGACTAAGTGACAGGGAGCCAGGTGAAAGCAATTCCAAAATGGGTACAATGAAAGCAGATGAGAGAATAGGAAAAACAAAGAATTTCAAATCAAAGGTTAAGACATTTGCAAAATGCATGAAGAAATGTAATTCTAAGAAACGTAATTGATAAGGGTCAAAAAACAGAAAAATGACTCATTCCTCATAAACTTGCAATAATAGAACACCTGAAATAACTTTGGTTATATTAAGGATTACCAAAAAATTTAGATACAAATATATTAGCCACTAAAAATATTATGAAAGTCAGTTTACTAGTCAGTGTTCTCCAGAGAAACAAAACCAGTAAACTGCAGGGTGGGGTGTGTGTGTATACATATATACATATATATATAGAGAGAGAGAGTGAGAGATTATTTAAGGAATTGACTCGTGATGTGGAGGCTAGCAAGCTCAAAACCTGTAGAGTAGGCTGGCAGATTAAAGACCTAAGGAAGAGATGCAGTTTGAGTCCAAAGACACAGTTTTATTCTTCTGGAATTATTATCTCCTCTTCAGGGGAGGTTCAGTGTTTTCTTAAGGTCTTCAAATGATTGGATGATGTTCATTCACATTACAAAGGACAATTTGCTCTGCTAAAATTCTACCAGTTTAAATGTTAATCCCACCCCAAAAATACCTTCACAGAAATATATAGAATAATGTTTGACCAAATGTCTCATATTTTGGCCTAGCCAAGTTGACACATAAAATTAAACATCACAATCAGGCAGAAGCGAAAAAAAAATAGAAAATACAAAAAAAGCAACCAAAACACACACACACACACACACACACACACACACACACACACACACACACTATATATATTTAAGAATGGTGCCAAGTAGTAGTAGGAATTTTGGAAAACTCAGACAATCAGCCAGTGTTTGTGGGAGTTTACACTGGTGAGGCCATTTTGATGTGCAGCATCTCAGTACATTGTAAGTTATTTATATTTATATTCTATATACATTTATTTCACATCTGGCTCCATATTATCACAAATAGGGTAAAAGAAGCCAAATATGATGAAGTGAGAGTTGAAAGTGATCTTTTTGTCTCTAAGTGGAGATTGTGCAAATAAATTATGGTGGATAAATGCTATAGACTTCTAAAAAATTGAAACACAAGCTAGGTGTAAACTTAGTAGGACCAAAACTTTTAAAAACACAATACTTAATGAATAAAGTAAGAAACAGAATATTTTGCTAACAAGGCATAATTTATGTGTCTTTAACATATTCTCACAAGACACCCTGGCATATTTTTAATAGACATAAAAATTTAAGAATATTAATTCAATTCAATAAAGTATTTGCATTTGGGAGAATAAAATAAGAACAAAGAACAGGATTTCAAACATAATACATAAATAAAACAAGAGAGGCGCCATATAGAGAACAATAATTATAGTTTGTCCAATAGGATAATACATTTCACTCTGTGTTTGAGAGAATCATAATAATAAGATGACAGATAATTTCAATCATTAAATTTTATTAAGTAAAGTTAATATCAACTAGATAATGTAATAAGTTGGGAAATTGTTAATGAGTAATTAAAATGTGTATAGACAAAGCAAGAATGCCCATTATCTCCTTCACTACTTAGCACTGTATGGGATTTATTAGTGAATGTAATCAGACAAGAGAAATCAATTTGAAGAATAAGGATTGCAAAAATAGTAAAACTCTATTTTCAGATGAGATGATTGCAAAACTAGAAAACGAAAGGAGATCAGTGATAAACCTAACATAAATATTCAAACTATTCAGTCACCTACTGGAATATAAAATTAACATAAAAATAAATACTTGGACTTCATGTTGTACAGAGTTTGAATTTTATTAAAATTTAAAACCTTTACTCTGTGGAAAACACTGTTATAAGAATGAAAGGTCAAGCCGTAGACTGAGAGAAAATATCTGAAAACATAAATGTGATAAAGAACTTATATCCAAAATATACGAAGAAGTTTTTAAACTCAACAATAAATAAACCAAATAATCCAGTTAAAAATGGGTAAAACATCCGAATAAACACCTCAGCGAAGAAGATATATAGATGGTGAATAAGTATATGGAAATATGCTTCACATCTGTTATCGTTAGAGAACTTCAACTTAAAACAACAAGATGTCATTACACACCTATTAGAACATCTAAAATCCCCAAAACTGACAATGATAGTTGCTGGAGAGAAAGCAGAGCGACAGGGACTGTCATCATTGGTGGTGGACATTCAAGGCTACAGACAAGTTGGAAAGCAGTTTGATAATTTCTTAAAAACCTACCATAAGGGCCGGGCGCAGTGGCTCACGCCTGCAATCCCAGCACTTTGGGAGGCCAAGGCGGGCGGATCATGAGGTCAGGAGATCGAGACCATCCTGGCTAACACAGTGAAACCCCGTCTCTACTAAAAATGCAAAAAAAATTAGCCAGGCGTGGTGGCGGGCGCCTGTAGTCCCAGCTACTCGGGAGGCTGAAGCAGGAGGATGGCGTGAACCCAGGAGGCGGAGCTTTCAGTGAGCCAAGATCGCGCCACTGCACTCCAGCCTGGGCGACAGAGTGAGACTCCGTCTCAAAAAACAACAACAACAACAAAAGAAAAACCTACCATAAGATCCAGCAATCTCTCTTTTTAGGTATCTACTCAGCTGATTTGAAATGTTATGTCCACATAAAAGCTTGCATGTGAATGTTTATAGTAACCTTATTTATGTAGACCCCAAACTAGAAGCAGCCACCATTTTCTTTAATTTGCAAATGAATATACAAACTGTGGTGCCTTCATACAATGTAATATTATTTAATGATAAAAAAAAGAGCTATTAAGCTATGAAAAGACATGAATGAATTTTAAATGTATATTGTTATGTGAAAGGAGTCAGTTCTAAAAAGTTATAAGCTGTATGATTCTTATACAGCATTCTAGAAAAGGCAAAACTATAGACATAGCAAAAATCAGTACTGCCCCTTGTTTTGGGGAAGCTGGGAAGGTTGAATAGGTGAAGCACATAGGATTTTTTAAGGAGGTGAAACTGTACTATGTAACATTTTATTGTGGAGAAATAGCTATGCATTTACCAAGACCGATATAACTTTTCATCACAAAGAGTAAACTTTAATGTAAACAAATAATAAAATAATTTAGGAGGTCAGGGATACCAATATGGAATGCAGAATGTGGAAACAATTTAACTATATGACAAATACACGAAATAACCTCGCTGAAGGGAGCGGGGAGTAAAAGAGAATAGAGTCTATATGTCTAAGGCAAATTCAGCTATACATAAGCATGGTACTCTAACTGATCAAGTTGTCTCTCACTGGAGGACAGTGTAACATTCTGATACTGCTACTCATGTATACTGAGATGGAATAATTACATAAATGTATGGTGGAGGTGGGAGCCACATTTCTTATTGTTGGTCTGGGAATTTGGAAATAAGTAAGGGGTGAAAGCTAGCATAATCTATATGGTGATGGATTAGGATTGGAAACAGCATGAACTCATGTTTAGCATAATATAAGATGGCTTCATAGAAAAATATTTACAGGTATTTGCATACACATGGGTTAGTATACACAAATTTATTTTCTTGCTCTCAGCTGAGAGGGCCTAGAAACAACCATACCCTAGTAGCAGCTAGCACATAGAGTGCCCAAATCTTGGTTTCAAATACCATTCTTCAATAAAGGAACTAGGTAACCTGGGGAAATGGGTGATTCTAGGACTGTAGCAGGAAATATACAAGACAAGCATGAAGCATTTTGTAGAGCCTAAGAGTAAGAAGGGAATGGTCAAACACACACACACGCATGCATACACACACACACACACTACACAATGTGAGTGATGGCGATAAGCACATGGGACACAGGAGCGCACTGAAAGAGCTGGTCAGAGCTGGAACAATCAGAGCAACAATGTTAATAAGGCAGAATTAAACTATAACTCAAACCACGGAAACAAATATCCACGAGTCTATGCGGAAATAAATCAATTATTGAATAAATGGAAGAGAAGAAGTAAATCTGAGCAGAAGAATTTCAAATAAATTTCAATTTTAGATACTTCATCCTCAAGAAAGAGAGCATAACTCTCCACTTCTTGAGTCTGGTTTGCACATAAGGACTTCCTTCCAAAGTGTGCAGTGTGGATAAAGGGAAGAAGAGAGTGACTTAGTGAAGAAACTGGAAAAACACTACCTCAGCCTAGTGATCAAGAGAAGTCAACATGCACTGTGAGAAGTCATGTTGATAGGATGTCGACTTGATATGAAGCGATGAAATTGGCAGTTTACCTCTGTGGTCTTCCTTATCAAAACCCATAACCAAAATGTAATTATGAGAACAAATCAGACAAATTACAATTGAGAAACATTTCACAAAATACCTGACTAGTACCCTTTAAAAATGTCTAATGTCATCAAAACAAGGAAATTCCATATATATTTTTGCATTTGTTGATTAGTATTTGCTGATCTCCATCTTAGGGATAAATGTCTCCAAGTGAGATTGCTGGATCAAAGGACAAATGCAGATGTAATTTATTTAGACATTGCTAATTTTCCCTACATGAAAATGTATGAGAGTATCTTACCAATAGAATGTGTTGTCAAAAAAGATACAATTATTCCACTTTTACAGATAAGTAAATTAAGGTTTGGAGGATTTAGGCCCTTTCCATGGCTGTTATGAAGAAAAATAAAGATGAAAACTCAGGCCTCATTCTTACTCCAACACCTAGGAACTTTTAAACAATAGGCAGGGTCAAAATATGGCATACAGAAACTGATAATCTGAGTAGATGCATACATGTTGATCCCAGAAGAATCACTCCATTTTGGTGATGAATTATGTTATTCTAAATTTGCAGAGGCCTGAAATATTTTTACTCATATCTTTATAGCCAAAATTTGATTACTAATAACAATCAGCCTATGTTTTTAGCTTCTATGGGGACAATAAAAACTTAATTAAAATATAAGGGGACATTACTGAGGTTTTCCTATCCACTCACATTTAGGAAGATGTAACTGGAAGAGTATAGCCTCCTGGAATATTACCTAAATTTATTTCAAGTTGTTAAGTCTTAGCTGCTTATGCATTTTGCTTAATTTCATCAAACTAAAAGGTATCCTCAGTTACATATTAAATTAAATTGGAAAATTTTTTCTTATAATAAAGATGAGTGAAACATATTGTTAGATACGAATTGAAAAGCTCTTTTTTTCAGGGCCTTTCATGTTCAACACATACTTTTAGTAGAAGTATGTTATTTTGCGTGTAAAATAATTAAATTCCCCAAATTTGAAACAATAAAGATATCATAAACAACATTTTAAGAAAAATGATCTACTCATCATTAATTATTTATCCAGCCCAAAGGTGATACAAGTATGTTCAAATTGACAAGGTGAAAAGTATGTCTCTTTTGAAACTAATAAGGTAGAAGAGGAAAATAATACTAATTAACACCTATCTCCTAATTTTGCAGTGCAAGCCCACAGATTTTGTACCATAAATTATAACATTTGTTTACATTTATATACAACATACATAGGTATATAATATTAGATATTATCTCTTTATATGATATAAATACTGTTATATTTTCTTATTTTACTTGTTCTCAGATCTGCCATATATTTTCATATGTAAAACATATTACTTATAATTCAAAACTTTGTTAAATAATCTTTCTGAAAAGTAGAGTCCAGCTTATTAGAGGCAAATTACTAGCAATAATTTAAATTGTGTAAATATGAAACCTTAAGGACAAAAATACTCCTTCAGATATTTTGCTAATGTTTTTATATTTCTAACTCAATGAATAATTATGTTTTTAATTATTTCATGAAGTAAATACAGTTCAGTCTCCCAGGGCCAGAGAGAACAATCAGATAAAAATTCACTAAATATAACAAATGAGGATAAAAATTTATAAGTATAAAATCAAAGTTAAGAATTTACAGTTTTCAGAAATATTGTATTTAGTATTCATATTTAAAAGTGGTTTCCTAATTCCTGATGCTGCTTATGCCATAGACATGGTTGTTTATAAACTACATTTTAAATGAATTGGGTAATAATGATTTAAAAAGAGAAAGAAGTGCTTAGTTTCTTCACATAAACAATGCTATTTTAATTAGCATTAAACATTTATATTTTGTTTAGTAACATGTGAATTCAATATTTTAAACTCCTGACATCTGTGTTTTGGAGAAAAAAACAACTCTTATTTGTTGTTAATGTAACATATAATCTTTGAGTGTATGTTTGTCCCTGGCTATGTGTGTATACTTTTAAAACATCCATTTTTCCTAATCCATTTTACTGAAGTATAAAATAAAATTATGGCTTTGAAATTGTCAAGGTATTTGTGTTTAATTTATACTATTGCATATTGTGTCATTAATAATACACTTTACAATGCCACAACACTTGTATGTGTATTAGTAAAAATGCATAATTAAATAGATTGAATTTACAGTTTTGCATCATTTAGGGATGTTCCTTTTATGGGAATTTTTTTTCAGCCTGTCTCAGAATACTATTTTCACAGAAAAATCACTGAGATGAAAGGTACCTCTTTTATGACAGGATTTATCTTCCAACCATGAGTACTCCCAAGGCATCCAAGGTGCTTGCTACTTCCCACTCTCCAAGTTCCAGTGGTGATTGCATCAAAATATTCAATGTGTTGGTGAGGAGCCTAATCCTTACAAACTAAATAAGATACAAGGCAAAATCTGATGTGTCCTTGAGGCAGAATAATGTACTGTGTTTGCCAAATGTAAGCAAACTATTTGTGGTGTTCTATGATATTGGAATGAAGAAAAAAATTATTTACTGGGAGAAGATGTACATTCCAGTTACCACAAGATGCATTGATTTGCTCTGCTACACAACATAATAGATTATTTTTAACACAATCTAAGAAGATTCATGAGTTTGGACATTAGCCATAAAAATAATTTAGGACATGAGGGTACTTACCCATTCCACCCACCTTGGTTGAGTAATACCTGCTGAGGCATATTCTCCAGCCCATCCTACCTGACTGTGCATGCTCCTGCAGTTAGCGAAGAAGATAGAGTTGCAATAGGAAACTGCCAGTGTGTACAACAAAAATGAGTTTGCAGCTATGTGAATAGGACACTGGCAACATCTGCTATAATTTTAAAAATAAAATCTTCACTTGATACCTCTACTTCACCAACTACTACTCTATTTCTCTCTTTTAATAGCAAAATTTTCTTTTCCATAATTATTCCACATTTATGTTTCTAATTTATCTCATCATATTATCTCTTCAATCTACCCTAATAATTTTCTCAGATCCACAACATCACTGAAATCATTTTTATCTACATGGATGTAGCTCGTTCTGCATATTCTCACTACTCGAGTGTATGTAGCAAATGGAAGATGAAATCTAGCTTGTGCTTTACCATGCACCCTGATGTGGGTCTTTATCTACCCAGTGGAAATAGAATTTTTCCCCCTAATTTTCACAAAGCTACAGTATAGGCTAGCCAGCCATGACTTACCAGTGTCACCAGTGATTTTTCACCTTGCTGGCTTCAATGACTGATTCTGAGAAATCATCTTCATAGATGAGCAGCATTTGTCAGAGGTTGATCACTTTCTTCAACTTGGCTTTTACTGTAATGCATTCTCCTTTATTTTATTTTATTTTTAACATCACTGTGAGAATTCACTTTTGCTGATCCCTTCTCACCTCTCAGACCTCTAAAACTTTAAATGTCCTAGTGCTCAGATTTTGGGAACTTTTCTTCTTTTCTGTCAACACATCTTTTTTTGGTGATCTTATTAATTCTCATATTTGATGACTTCCAAATTTATATCTAGCACTGACTGCTATTTTCAACTCGATTCAGCTTGACTTTATAATACTTGATTGACTAAAAACCATGTCACACAATACATTCCAACCTGAAATCTTGCTTTCACCTCAAAACCTTATCAACAGCAGGCTTTTTTTTTTTTCATTTTAGTAAATAGGTATTCAATTATTTCTTTTGGTCAGACAAAAATCTTTGGAGTCATATTTAACTTCTCCCTTTTCACCACCCTCTATAACCAGTCCAGGCAATTCCTGTTAATTTTACCTTCAAAATATATCCTGAGTCACAGGGTTACAGGTTTAAAGTTATGAGAAGTAATAAAATCATCAAAGGAGTACAGGTAAATAGAAGAAAAGATATGGTGCTGTTATTTATTGAGCTTTTACTATGTGTCAGACACTGTTACTCTTAATTGATCAATGCACGTAATACTAGTTATCCGTATGGAGAATATGGTCTCCTACCATAAAGAGAAACTCATGTGACTTAAGTTTTTCAATAGAAGTTACTGCATCTCTCTGATACGTACCAAACTTGCATTCTCCACTCTGGTGCTCTTGAAACAGAAGAACTATACAGTCTTAGCACTAACATGAGAATAATTTCTCTCTCTCACTTCACTTGCTTTACATTAGACCCAAAGAAGTGTTTCCTATGTCCCAGATGTCACAGAGTTTTTAGTGAAATAGCCCTTTCTGTTTCTATGTACAGCTCCTCTTACTCAGGAATCAGATATACGTTCATAAATTTGGCCTCCAATAATTCAATAAATGCCATTATATGACACTCAAACTTTCTGCTTTTATCATTTAGCATGGCTTCTTTCCAAAGAGGTCACCAAATCCTTTCGCTAGATAGATCCATGATAGAAATCCAGATTTATCTGAACTATTACAGCAGTATTTATTGAGAACCAACTATGCAACAGATATAAATTTGCACAAATTGGATTCATACTGAGAACTCTTATTGCAATCTAAGCACCTGAATTGTCAGGTGTACTTGAAAAGTCCTCTCTGGCCTAAAATTTAGACCAAATTTGCCTTTTCGTACATCTTTAAGTGTTCTCTTTCACTTCTTAATTTTCCTGCGATCACTTGCTATTTCCCTCACGAGGCTTGATTTTTTTTCTCTCTCGGTTGTTAGGCAAGATGTATCTCAGCTTGAAATTTAGTATTAGTGGTTTTCTTTGCTAGTGTGCCCTTTGATATTGACATGCCACTGCAGGGATGGCATTGATGATAAACCCCAATTTATTACTATTTTAAGTCATTTTATTCATTTACTATAGTCTGAAGAGCTAAAAGGCATACTTTAGAAAAATGACAACTGGTAATTTATCTTCACTGCAGCCCCGGGAGAGATGCATCAATATCAAAGTTGCAGGGCTGGCTGAGAGAGTGACTGTCTTCCCACACCACAGAGAAGCCTCCAGAAACATTTGGCAGTTTGTTGGATTTTTTAGTAAACAATGAAGAAAATAGTATCTGAAGAGGGGTAAAGATTGGTAGGGAAAAATTTAGGATTGGGAATTTATTAGATCCATAATATGAATAACAAGTATTAATCAGCATTGCTATAATGTGTGTGTATATATATATGTATGAATATATATAAAGATAACTTTCAATAGTATTAAACAATTTTAACTGATATTTTTATTGGCAAAATAACTCTTAAAAATTATTTTCTCTGTCACAGTGCTTTAATATCTTATTTCCTTGCTAATTTGCTTATCTTTTCCTAGTTTAATCTAAAATACAAATGAAATAAAGAAGAATCTTGTTAGTATCCTGATTTTTGAATTTTAATGGTAAGCTTACTTTTCTATGAACAATTGCTAACTTAGTTATGTATTGATTAGATGCAAAATTAATTATAATCTGCATTGTCTATCATTTCCCTTCATATTTTAGTCTTATACATGGATTAGATAATTGAGACTAGATAAGGTTCATGAGCATAGAAGATGACATTTACATTAAAGATTTAGGTTTTAGACCCAGGAATCTTTAGTGAAGGAAGTTATGTTAATTTTTATTTTATTTTAAGATTTCTTGAATAATGAATACTACTATGTATTTACTTATTATCTAAGACTGTGAGAAACATAACACTAGGGCTGAGAAATTCAAGCCCTCAAAGAAATTACGGTCTTACAGAGAAAATAGACAAAGAAAGAAAATTAATTATGATCTATACTGTCATGGGCAAAGCACAGTACTACATAAAGACACAGGAAGGGCACCTAATACAATTTTAAGTCGTGGGGAACATTTTCTTAAGGAGTGATTCCTAATCAATGACAAGTGGCTTCACTAGAATCTATCCACAAAAAGGAAGAAAATATTTTTAGAAAGAAGAGATAATAAATGTAGAGACCCAGAAGCTAAATAAAAGATGTATCTGAGACCTAAACTAAAATTCCATATAGGTGATATTGATAAAGGGTAAAGAGAAAGTGCTAAAATAGGAAAACAGAGAGCTAAGCAAAGATGTCATTCAGAATTTATTTTCATGCCATATTAATGGTGTTAGAGTTAATTCTAGAGAAAACTTGGAAAATAGAAGCAGAAAGACAGTATACACAATTTGTGCTAGAAAAATGTCTCCAATTTCTGTCTAGAGTTTGTCTTTGGAAGGAGCAGACTAGAAGCAATACAACCAGGTGGTAGACTTTATCAATACTCCAGGGAAGATTTAATATTATCTGGAATTATTTGGCCACATGTTTTGATATTTAATTACATATTATTATATAGAGTGCTCAGTTTTACAAAGAAGAAACTTTGTCTTTCCAGGGGGTTTAAATAATTTAAATTTCTCCTCTTTTGAGTTTTTTAGTTCCTTGTTTATATTATGACGTTAATAACATTCTATCTCCCACTACAGTTTCTTGCATTCACTTAATGTCTTCTCCCCAACATTTGCTGAAACCTGGAGCACTATGCTATAAAAGTGATAGTAACATTGTAACAACTATGTTATTATTTTACTGGGCATTTTCTAAATTCATGTTGAATCAACAGTTGCAGAAATGAATATTTATGAATGAATCAATAGATAGCATTTATGTATATCTAGTCCAATCAAAGTTTGAGCATTTCTAGTGTCTTAGACTTTCCCTATTTATAAATAAACCTGGAATGAACTGGGATATTTTAGTGTGAATCTCTTCCCAAATATATAGTGGGCAGATAAGCCCAAAAACCTTGGGGGATATTGTCACTCCAGAACGATACTTACACATTATATTTGTATATACAAAATTTCAAGATTTTATTATGTTTTATGTATTTTAAATTTCTCAGTACAATCAGAATCTTCAAGTGATCTTGACTCCATGTGTTTTTTTATACTTCCAATACCTGCTACCTAATAGAAGAGCAATTCATTTTAATCAAATCAAATTCTTATATTCAAAATTTGTAAGATGAATGCTGGCTGTTTTATGCAAAATATTGGCACATATGCAGTGTTTATCACAAGATACTTTTAAGATTTAAACAACTTTGGATGAAGAAATATTCTTAAGGAAATTTTCAGCACCATAAAAAGATACTGTAAACAAAAAAACAAAAAACATATATGATAAATTGTTACACAGACTTGTTATGGACCATGGTAATATTTACTGTATGGGGATAGATTATAGTGAGAAAGCTTTATTTTTTATGTTTAGAAATACACAGAATCATAAAAATGTAATGGTTGGTTTAACCTATAAAGAGTTTTCTAATCAGTTAGTTAGTTCCTTACAGAAGGTGGAAATTGTATCTTATGAAAGATTTATTTTATTCCTCTTCCTTTAATTTTCAGCACTCAGGAATGCTTTGAAGATGTTAGAGAGAACCTGATAAATTTTCACGGTATCCTATAGAAGCTATGTGAATAGAAAACATATCAAGAAAATGCTAACTTGTTTGCACATGCTTCCCAGTTTTGTTAATTCATTCCACATTCTTATTGATACAGATGGAAATTATAAAAGAAATGAATTTATGGATTGAGTTAGCAATTTAATCTCCATAGCAACATGCAAAAATTGAGAAAGTAATTAAATATAACATTTATAGTTTGTGGAATAATTTAGTTATCTGGTAATTATTAGCATGATTATAAAGTGACATAAACAACTGTGTGGCTCAAATGTGTGATTATGTACAATATACACCAAGCTGGCACTTACTGAACATATTATGCTGATTTTACAGGCAATTAATAAATACACCGTGCAGCTGTGCTGAAAATGCTAAATAATTTGTCAAAAATTGAATGTGTATGCACAAGTCTGCATTTGTGTGTGTGTGTGTGTGAGAGAGAGAGAGAGAGATCTAGATGCACTTGAACTCGTATTGAGCTAAATGGTACAGACCATTAATATATGTAAGGGCAATTTAAGTACTGCAGTAGTAACAACATTTTAAGTGGAAACAAGCCATATTTTCTTGATCCTGTTTTTTAAGCCTCATTTTGATTTCTAGGTTGAATATAACAATTATCATAGTAATAATAGTTTACTATTATCATAGTAAAAACGTTCTATATTTTCATATTTTACCAAAAGGCAGTTCACACTATTTAATGTTGTAGGCTTTTGTCAAAATGGCAACAATTTGGATGCATTTAAAAATACAAAATTTAAATCTATATAAATTTTTTTCTCAATTCTACCTCCTGAACAAGTAGGACTCCAGGGTGCTGAGGTCAGTGTGGGAAAGAGTATCTCAATGTCTGGGTTTGGTATGGGAGATGCTGTAATACTTGCTTTATGGATGCAATTGATGAACCTAGGCAGAAATATTGGAAACAACATATTTTTGAAAATTAAAACCTGGAGTTGGGCCGGAAGCGGTGGCTCACGCCTGTAATCCCAGCACTTTGGGAGGCCGAGGCAGACAGATCACGAGGTCAGGAGATCGAGACCATCCTGGCTAATACGGTGAAACCCCGTCTCTACTAAAAAATACAAAAAATTAGCCGGGCATGCTGGTGGGCGCCCGTAGTCCCAACTACTCAGGAGGCCGAGGCAGGAGAATCGCTTGAACCCGGGAGACGGAGCTTGCAGTGAACCAAGATCGCGCCACTGCACTCCAGCCTGGGTGACAGAGTGAGACTCCATCTCAAACAACAACAACAAACAACAACAACAACAACAACTACAAAAAACTGGAGTTAAGATCAAACCAATTTACTAATCTGAAAGTATTAATTAGAGGATGATAATGAAAGTATGTCCCCAGTACAAAAACTAGGACAATTAACTCAAAAATACATATATGTGTTTATGTCCACATATACATATAAAATTTTATAACAGAAGGTGAGAATGGGATCTAAGTCAACTTCTACATGGTAAATAGGTGCAGTAATTTTTACTGGTGGGTGACCATAGCAATACAAAGATGGGAAGGAAGGGTGGATGAACAATACTATAGGTACTGTTGGTTGGAGGAAAGAAATGGTAGCCCTGGACATAGCTGAGTGATTTTAGGATCCTTAAATAGATTCATGCCCAAGTGTCTTAGTCTGTTTGGGCTGCTATAACACAAATATCACAGATCGGGTGGCTTAACAACAAACATTTATTTCTCACAGTTCTGGAGGGTAGAAAGTCTATGATGAAGGCATTGGCAGATTCAGTGTCTGATGAGGGCCCACTTCCTGGTTCACAGATGACCATCTTCTCACTGTGTCCTCACTTAGCAGAAGGGGTGAGGAAGCTCTGTGGGGTTTCTGTTATAGGGCACTAATCCCATTTATGAGGGCTCCACCTTCATGACCCAATCACCTCCTAGAGGCCACCTCCAAACACCATCACTTGGGATTAGGCTTCAATGTATAAATTTTAGGGGGACATAAAAATTCAGTTTTTGCGCCAAGCATGGGAAATATAGCACTGAAGGCCGTATCCTCTCATCAATTTTTCAAATTGGTAATAACAACAATAATAGTGATAAAAATCATTAAAATAATGACAGTTATTTATAACCTTGCACCCCCACCCATAAAACCAGCCTCATCTTTTCCACTATTCGCTCTGTGAAGGCCCAAACAAGGCAATCAAATTATTCAAGTTATATCCCAGGAATATTACTTGGCACCTTCTCAACAAACCTTCTCCCAGAGTCATCATAGCCATCCCTAATCCTATCTATATCACTCTCTAAATATCAGCAGCTTTACAGTTCTTTCCATGTTCATCACTATCACCTATTCCAAGCTACCGTCCTGGCTCAAATGGAATATATAATAGCACTTTCACTTGATTATATTATTGTTCAAAAATAGTTCATTTACTCCCCCCAAACTTTTCATGGGGCAGTAAAATTTTCCACAACTTGGCCTCAAGAAAGTGAATGGGAAAGTGAAAAATGCCTTTGGTCAATGCTTAATATGCTTTTGTATTTGAGTGTGCCCTCTTGTGCCTCTACCATTGCTGGGAGAATATATTTCCAGCTAGCTCACTGGTCCAAAGAAAATAGACAAGTAGCTTGCTGTGAAAAATCATAGTAGGGATTTGAAAATTAATATAATTTGTCCTGATATTTAAATTACAAATAAATTATTTTAAAACGGACTTGTATTTTATGAGCTTCTGAAAAAAAATCACAATTTGACCTTAATTCTAACATATATGTTAACATTGATAAGTATTGTCAACCGAGACCCGATCCTGAAGCCTCAACCATAGATGCCATTTAGTGTGATTCAGTACAAGGCTATATTAAAACAGAACCAAACAAAATGAAACAAACAAAAATCTACCTCTAATTCATAATGCATAATGTGAAACCTAAACTAAAGAAATACCTCTGCTGTTGAAAGCATCATTGTTAGGTGATGCCCAGTGGAGAAGACTGACATTGTAGGTGATCAAGCATAAACAAACATAGGAGCAAAAACATCATAATGGAAATATATATTTGGAAAGTATCTCCAAGTATAACATGATATATTGGAAATCATGGATAACTAATGCCTGGGGAGATATGTGTTGGAAAATGATAAAAAATGATTTTTAAAAATCTTGCAAAGGGAAACAAAACTTTTAGATCAATAATAAAAACCCCAAAAAGGCAGAAAGTATTTCAGTGTTTTCAGGTGAACACCATAACAGGAGATACCCATTATCTTATGGTTTTCTTTACCGAAGTATTATAGTAAGTCAATGATTTATTTTACTCTGCTCAAGGAAGACCTCATCCGCAAAGTAATGTGGGTACAATGAAACCAGTAATAACCATGCGAATCTTCAATATCTTCCCACATTGGATGTCTATTGGTTGAACAGTGTGCAAGAGAGAAAATCTGTCCCACTTATAATGGCTCCAGCTGACAGACAGGTTTTGTGCTTTGATGCAATGTATCTTTAAAGGTTCCAGAAATAAAGAGGAATACTTGAACTGGGCTAAAGTCTTTCTCAGACTTGGATTCATTCACATATGATTATAATTGTAAACCTGATTATATTTTTAGTCAGAATCAGAGGACAGTAGATAATTTTCACATTACATTTATAGACTGGTTATTACTAAGCCATTGAGTAGAATTAAACAGCCACGGCTGTTTTCAATACTGTATGGTCGACAATAGAAATAACTAAGAATTTATTTACAATAAACTAGGGTGTCAATCTATATAAAAACTAGCTTTTATGTTTTTACTATACTTCTCTCTCAATTTTATCCATCCTTCTATGCTATCTTACAATTTATTGGTTTTGTCTGAATAATGCTAGAAAATTGACTTGACATTATTTAAAACTATGATCTGTGGAAAATTGTTACCCTGAGTACCTAAGAAGTATATCACTAAAACTCTATGCTGAAGTGTAGACATGTTTGTGCTATTGTTAAAAGCACTTTCCTATCCGCTGCTGCTGTTTGGTTAGCCGCAGCTTAGCTGAGAACAGTCAGGATTGTAAATTGCTGACTCCTTGGAGACATACTACACAATGACACTGAAACCAGTAACATAAAATCAATTATTTATCTTGTATGCAATATATAAGAAAAATAATAACACTTTTAAAAACATTGGAAGTTAAAGAAGGCCAGTGTAGCTTGTTTTGCTTTTGAAAGCTAATCTATGTTATTTGATGACAGAAATGTTGAAAACTGTATTGTTTCTGTATTATGTCACAGAATAGCAGCCTCAGCCTTTATATATCTAAAATCTGCCCTTACCTTGTTTTAAAGTTATATTTAGTCTGTTTGTAAGTCTGATGAATAAAATTGACAAATTTGGAATTGGTCAATTAATTGTTATTATGGGAAATAGCTTTTAAAACTTATGTAATTAATAACAGTAATATCACTCAGGGTATATGTCCTAATTTTTACAATTTTGTTAGCACCTTTTTTGTTCTATAGTGAAGATGTAAAAGTGTTTTTTTCTATGTAAAAATTCTGAAATTAAAAACTTAATGGACAACTTTTCATTTATTTTAAATTAATCCTGAGGTTCCCGAGTAACAACTGTCAGGAACACTGAGAGATACATTAAATTGCTAGGGAAACTTAGCAATATCTGTTGGACATCAAGAGAACTACTAGTTTGAAAAGTGCTACAGACTGCATATTTGTATCATCCACAAATTCGTATGTTGAAATTCCAACCACTAAGGTGATGCTATTAAGAGGTAGAGCCTTTTGGCGTTTTGTTATTTAATAAACTGTTAGTTATTTCTTTTTGTTAAAGGAGGCCATGAAAAATTATTGGGATCCTAAACTACTGAGAACTGAGAAAATTTGTGAGCCTCTGAGATAATCAATCTATTGATTTAATAAATAGGTGTTGAATTCTATGTGACAGGTGCTGTTCCAAGTTCTGGTACATAGTGATGAATAAAACAATCATGGTTGCTGGCTCCATGGGTTTTACTGTCCACCGTAGGCTTTTGCCAAGTTGTTAATCTATGACAAGATAGTAAAAGTATATGAGTTACACTGCATACAGAGGAAATGCTATCTACTATTTATATGCCTTTATATTACCTGCAATCTATTTTCACTGCTAGTTTTTTTTTTATTACATTTATTCTATGTCAAGTTTGCCCCTGGGCTACACCGTAAGACAGATGGAGTCTCCTGCATCCCTTGGCATTGTTTTCCATGGCCTTCATTCATTCATGGCACAATTGTTTCCCAAGTCCCTGGACTGTTATTAGCTTCCATGGCTGCACAGAATCCTTCATTTTATCCTTTCTCCTGAGCTTACATTTCCAGAAATGACTCATGTTGCAGACTTATACTTCCCAATTTTATTCATCTACTAAAATATCCATTTTCTGACTAAACTGTATTCTAACAAAATAATTCAAAGGAATGAATGATGTTATTTTGGTAGAAATATGTGTATATACACACAACACAACATACATACACACACACACACACCCCATAGTGAGAGTAAAGTCAGGAGAACATTATGGAAAGTCTTTGAGAAAGGTTCATATTGTACCATAAAATCTACTTATCTTTTCCTTTTGTATTCTAGCTGTTTTTTAATCATACCTTTAGCACTTATCCTCAGTAAGTCCCTTTGCATTCCACCTATATACCTTACCTATTCTAAGTTGCTTTTTTATTATTACCCAAAAGAAATCCTTTCTCTCATTGTCTTCACTCTCCCTTTCATGCAGGTGAACTCCCGTAACATATCTCTGGTCCAAGATTTTCTTCAGGCTACAATTTCCTGAAATTTATGGTCTTCTAATCCATATCTTTAAATATTTTAAGATCAATATTCCCTGTTGACTTCAACCTGTAACAATTATACTGCTTTTTTAAAATCTTGCTCTTTTTATCTGTTTTTTCAAATATGGATTTTTTTCTCTAATTGTTGATTCTATATTATTTAACATTTTGTATCCTATGCTACTAACTAGACTGTAGACTCCTTTCCAATCTACCAACTAGATTGTATACTCCTTTCTAATAATAACCACTTCTTTTACTTGGAGAAATTCTGTCCTGGGATAGAAGAGTATTGTAGTCTATTTTCCCTATAGAAATCAAGTATGAGTAATTATATGCCAACTCTTTCCTGAAAGATGTAATTTGATACAATGGTAAAAGAAAGAAGGATGTAAGGCAGAGCAGGAGGGACTGCAAAACTAAGATGGGATCTTGCAGATATGCTGACAGCTTCACCAGAAATTGGAGCTTGGCCACATGGAAGATCTTTGGAGAAGGTGTAAGAAACATTGAGTTGAAGTGCAAAAAATGATGTGATGGATCTTTCCTGTTGTCTGTCTTTCATTGGCCAAAGTTTACCCCAAAGGGTAACTTCCAACCTGTGTTTCCCAACCCCTGTGTGTCACTTTCTCAGAAGCCTGATCTCA
Source organism: Homo sapiens (assembly GCF_000001405.40). NCBI lineage: Eukaryota > Metazoa > Chordata > Mammalia > Primates > Hominidae > Homo > Homo sapiens. Next base: position 194,898,673 of record NC_000002.12, on the reverse strand, counting down.
TGTGTGAAATTGATAGAAAACAAACAAAACCTAATTTAATGCACATTTTTATATTTTTTGAGAAAAATCATGTTCGATGTTTGAAAAAGTTTTTAAAATTTTATATTATCTCATATAAATTAAATAATAAAACAAGGATAGATTTATTCATTTATTTTATTCAACAAATACTTACCATGTGCCCAAATCTACCAAAAATTTGTTTTAGGTGATGAGTTATGAGAATGAACTGATAGGCAAACTAACTGTCCTCATGTACTTTATATCTCAGTGGAGAAAGATGAACAAATCATAAGTAAATTATTATGTAATATTTTAGATGGTGATAACTGTATGGGAATGAAATAAAGTATTGAAGTAGCTAATGTGCTGTATGAGAATGTACAGAATTTCAAATAGGAAAGTTTGGAGCGGCCTCTTTATAAAAATGGCATATCAATGGAGATCCAAAAGAGGTGAATGAGTGAACAAAGATTTGAAGTGGGTAGTAAAGCATTTAAGGCAGAAGGAAGAGCAAGAGCCCAGTTCCTGAAATGGGGACATTTTAAATGTGTTCAACAGGTAGAATGGGGGTCAATGTGGCTAAAACGAAGTGGATGAGTGAAGGAGAGTATTAGAAAACAAAGTCAGAGAAATGACAGTAGCCAGAAATGTTAGGCTTTTAAAGCTATTTAAGAACTTTGGGTCTTGTTCTGATGGAGATGAGAAAGCATTTTAGGGTTTTGAGCAGAGAAGTGACACAATCTGACTTAAATTTTGACAGGAACTTTGTGACCACTTTATTAAGATTAGTTAATAAGACTATTGCAGCAACGGTGACTTGGATTAGACAAGTTGGTATGGAGTTATGTATTGTAAGGTCCGTGATTCCATGTGCTGCCTGCTCGGATATATATGAGTCTCACAGGGCCCCAAAGTCCTGAAGCTTGAGTTTTGCTGTTTTTACCAGATATTCCCCCAACCTAGTGAGAAAGATTCCTCACCCAGCTAGTTCTCCTGATAACCAGATCAGCTACACTCTCCCTGATCCTTAATGGGTTTCACGTTCTTGGCAGCCCACAGAATTATTCGATAAGCCAATCACCTATGGGAACTAGAGGCCACCCTACCTTCCTGGTATGAAAATTCTGCCTTCCATAGCCCCAGATCAATCAATCTGCAAAATAAGATGGTAAAGTAGTAAAAGTCCATTTTCTGGAAAATAGATCCAATAAAATTTGCATTCATATTGAATATGAAGTGCAAGAGAAAAAAAATACTTAAAAACAGCTCCATGAGAGAGAGGCAGAGTGAGATGGCTAAATAGAAGACTCCCCCGATCATCCTCTTTGCAGGAACATCAAATTTGACAACTATCTACACAAAAAAATACCTTCCTAAGAACCAAAAATCAAGTGAGTGATCATGGTAACTGGTTTTAAATTCATATCACCGAAAGAGGCACTGAGAAGGGGAGGAAAGAGAGTCTTGAATGACCAACAACATCCCTCCTCAATATTCCAGCAGCAGCTCCCATGGCATGGAGCAGGAATCTATGTGCTAAGCAAGAGAGAGAGAGAGAGTGCAACTATTGTGGGACTTTGCTCTGGAAGCCAGTGCTGCCAAAACTGGGCAGAACTCAGCTGATGCCCATGGAGGGAACATTTAGACCAGCCCTAGCCATAGGGGAATTGCACATCCAAGTGGCAGAAAACTGAGTTTCAGCAAGCCTCACCACCGTGCTCTAAAGTGCTTTGGGGTCCTAAATAAACTTGAAAACTTGTCTAGAATACAAGGACTGCAACTCCTAGGCAAGGCCTAGAGCTGTGCTGGGATTGAAGCCAGTGGATTTTGGGGGCATGTGACCTAGTGCTGTGCTGGCTTCAGGTCTGATCCATTGCAGTCCCAGTGGTGGTGGCCCCAGGGGTGTTTTGTCACCCCTCCTCAAGCTCCAGGCAGGTCAGCACAGAGAGAGAGAGAGTTCCTTTTGTATGGGGGAAAGTAAGAAAAAAAAAAAAACACTATCTGTCTGGTAATCCAGATAATTACTTCAGTCTCATCCAAGACCACTAAGGCAGTACCTCTACAAGACTGCAAGGACTACAATGTTACTGGACTTGAAGTTCACCCTAAAGAAGATATGGCTGCAATGACCAAAATCTTATATCGCAGCACCCAAGTCCATTTGAATACCTGGAAAGCCTTCCCAAGAAAATGGTACAGCCAAGCCTGATTGTGAAGACTACAGTAATACCTAATTCTTCAATGCCTAGACATTGAGAAACATCCACAAGCATGATGGCCCTCCAGGAAAACATTACTTCATCAAATGAATTAAATAAGGCACCGGGGCAGTCCCAGAGAGATGGAGATATGAGACTTTTTAGACAGATAATTCAAAATAGTTGCTTTGGATGGGCGCAGTGGCTCATGCCTGTAACCCCAGCACTTTGAGAAGCCAAGGCGGGCATATCACAAGGTCAGGAGGTCGAGACCATCCTGGCTAACATGGTGAAACCCAGTCTCTACTAAAATTACAGAAAAATAAAAATAAAAAAATATCCGGGTATGGTGGCATGCAGCTGTAATCCCAGCTACTCGGGAGGCTGAGGCAGGAGAATTGCTTGAACCTGAGAGGCAGAGGTTGCAGTGAGCTGAAATTGCACCACTGCACTCCACCCTGGGTGACAGAGCGAGACTCTGTTGCAAAAAAAAAAAAAAAAAAATTGCTTTGGGGAAACTGAAAGAAATTCAAGATAACCCACAGAAGGAATTTAGAATCCTATCAGATAAATTTAACAAATAAATTGAAATAATTAAAAAGAGTTAAGCAGCAATACGGAACTGAAAAATTCAATTCGTATCCTAAGGAATGCATCAGAGTCTCTTAATAGCAAATTGATCAAACAGAATAAAGAATTAGTGAGCTTGAAGACAGGCTATCTGAGAATACACAGAGGAGAAAAAGGAAAAAAGAAAAAAAAATAATGAAGCATTCCTATGAGATATAGAAAGTGGCTTTTTTAAAAGGCCAATCTAAGAGTAATTGGCCTTAAAGAGGAGGTAGAGAGAAATAGAGGTAGAAAGTTTATTCAAAGGGATAATAACAGAGAAATTCACAAACCTAGAGAGAGATATCAATATTTAAGTACAGGAAGGTTATAGAACACCAAGCAGATTTAACCCAAAGAAGAGTACCTCAAGGTATTTAATAATCAAACTTCAAAGCTTAAAAATAAACAAAGGATCCTAAAAGCAGCAAGGGAAAATAAACAAATAATATGTAATGGAGCTCCAATACATCTGGCAGCAGACTTCTCAGTGGAAACATTCAGGCCAGGAGAGAGTGCCATGACACATTCAATGGGCTAAAGGTAAAACACTTTTACCTTATAATAGTATATCCATTGAAAATATCCTTCAAACATGAAGGAGAAACAAAGACTTTACCAGCCAAACAAAAGCTGAGGAATTTCATCAACACCAGACCTGTCCTGCAAAAAATGCTAAAGGGAGTTCTTCAATCTGAAGGAAAAGAAGTTAATGAACAATAAGAAATCATCTGAAGGTACAAAACTCGCTGATAATAATAAACAGAAAGACACAGAATATAATAACATTGTAATTATGGTATTTAAACTACTCATATGTTAAGTAGAAAAATGAAACGATGAACCAATCAAAATAATAACCCCGACAACATTTCAAGACATAGTACAATAAGATAGAAATAACAAGAAGTTAAAAATTGGGGAGACAAAGTTAAATAATAGAGTTTGTAATAGTTTTCTTTTTGCCTGTTTGTTTATATAATCAGTTTTAAGTTTCATCTGTTTAAAATAATGAACTATAAGATATTATTTGCAAGCTTCATGGTAACCTCAAACCTGAAACTGTACAATAGATACCCAGAAAATAAAAAGGAAAAAAATTAAAACATACCACCAGAGAAAATCACCAGAGAAAAGGAAGAAAGGAAGGAAGCAAAAAAGGAAGAGAATATTACCAAACAGCCAGAAAATGAATAACAGTATGACAGGAGTAAGTCCTTATTTATCATTAATAACATTGAATGTAAATGATCTAAACTTTCTAATCAGAAGACATTGAATGGCTTAACAGAGTAAGAAAAAAAACAGGACCCTACAATCTATTGCCTACAAGAAACACACTTTACCTTAAATCTGCTTGGTGTTCTATAACCTTCTTGTACTTAAAGACACACATAGAATTATAATAAAGGGATGGAAAAAGATATTCCATGGAAATGGAAACCGAAGAGGAGGAGTAGCTATACTTATGTCACACATAACTATAAAAAGAGACAAAGAAGTTCATTATATGATATAGGTGTCAATTCAGCAGGAGGATAAAACAATTGGAAATATATATGCATCCAACATTGGAGCATCCAGATATATAAAGCAAGTATTCTTACAGTTAAAGATATAAACCCCAATAGAATAATAGCTGGAGACTTCAACACCCTACTTTCAGCATTGTACACGTCATCCACAGAGAAAATCAACAAAGAAACATTATACTTACTCTTCACTATGGACCAAATGTACCTAATAGATATTTACAGATCATTTCATCCAGGGGCTACAGAATATACATTCTTCTCCTCAGCATATGGATGATTCTCAAAGATAGACCATATGTGAGGCCACAAAACAAGTTTGAAAACATTAAAAAGTTGAAATAGTATCAAGTAACTTCTCTGACCACAATGGAATAAAACTAGAAGTAAATACAAGAGGAATTTTGGCAACTATCTAAACACAGGGAAATTAAACAATATGCTCTTGAATGACTAATGGGTCAATGAAGATATTAAAAAATAAATTGAAAATTTTTTTGAAACAAGTGATAATGGAAACACAATAGCCAAAATCTATGGGATACAACAAAAGTAGTAGTAAGAGGGAAATGAGCATAAGTGCCTATATTAATAAAGAAAAAAACTTTAAACAATCCAATGATGAATCTTAAAGAACTAGAAAAGTGAAAGCTAACCAAACCCAAAGCTAGTAGAAGAAAAGAAATAATAAAGATCAGAGCAGAGATGAATGAAATTGATAGAGGAAAACAATGCAAAAGATCAAAGATATGAAAAGCTGGTTCTTTGAAAAGAAAAACAAAATTCACAAACCTTTAGCAGACTAAGAAAACAAGAGAGAAGACCCAAATAAATAAAATCAGAGATGAAAAAGGAGACATTACAACTGATATTGCAGAAAGTCAAAGGATTATTAGAGGCCACTATGAACAATTATATGCCAATAAATTTGAAAACCCAGAAAAAAATAGGTAAGTTCCTAGACACATAAAACTTACCAAAACTGAACCGTGAAGATATACAAAACCCAAGTAGACCAATAACAAGTAACAAGATGGAAGCCATAATTAAAAGTCTCCCAGCAAAGAAAAGCCCCAGACATGATGGCTTCACTCCTGAATTTTATCAGACGTTTAAAGAACATTAGTTCTTTAAACTAAATAGTTTTAAACTAAAACTATTTTTAAAAAAAATGGAGGCCAAGGGAATACGTCCAAACTCATTTTATGAGGCAGGTTTTGCCCTGATACCAAAACTAGGCAAAGACACAACAGAAAAAGAAAACTACAGGCCAATATCTCTGATGAACGTTGATGAAAAAATCCTCAACGAAATACTAGCAAACCAAATTCAACAACACATGAAAAAGATAATCCATCACGACCAAGTGAGATGTATCCCAGGCATTCAAGGATGTTTCAACATATGCAAAGTAATCAATGTGACACATCATATTAACAGAATAAAGGACAAAATCCTTTATCCTTTTGGGCAAAAGATGTGAATAGACATTTCTCAAAATAAAACATACAAATGGAAATCATGTATATGAAAAGGTGCTCAGCATCATTGATCATCAGATAAATGCAAATCAAAGCTACAGTGAGATATCATCTCACCTCAGTTAAATTGGTTTATATATATAAAAAAGGCAATAACAAATGCTGGTGAGAATGTGGAGAAAAGGGAACCCTTGTACACTGTTGGTGGGAAGGTAAATTAGTACAGCCACTACAAAAAACAGTTGGGAGGTTCCTCATAAAACTAAAAATTGAGCTGCCATATGATCCAGCAATCCCACTGCTGGGTATATACCCCAAAGAAAGGAAATCAGTATATCAAATAGGTATCTGCACTCCCAGGTTTGGTGCAGCACTGTTCACAACAGATAAGTTTAGAAAGCAGCTGTGTCCATCAACAGATAAATGGATTTAAAAAATGTAATACATATATACAGTGGAGTACTATTTGGCTATAAAAAGAATGTTATCCTGTCATTTGCAACAACATGAAGGGAACTGGAGGATATTATGTTAAGTGAAATAAATCAGGCACAGAAAGACAAACTTCACATGTTATCACTTATTTGTGGGAGCTAAAAATTAAAACAATTGAATTCATGGAGTTAGAGAGTCGAATGATGGTTACCAGAGGCTGTGAAGTTTAGTAGAGTGCTAGGGAAGCGGGGATGGTTAACGGGTACAAAATACAGTTAGAAAGAATGAATAAGACCCACATTTGATAGCACAACAGAGTGATATAGTCAATATCTTATTGTATATTTTAAGTAATTAAAGTATAATTGGACTTTTCATAACAGAAAGGATACATGCTTGAGGTGATGGCTATCCCATTTACTCTGATGTGACTATTACACATGGTATGCTTGTATAAAAATATTACATATACCCCATAAATATATATACCTACTATGTACCCACAAAAATTAAAATAAAAAAATTAATAAAAGAATAGCTCCATGAAAAAAACAAAAAAGAGAGTAAAAGTTCCATGTTTGCTAACATTACTACTGAATTAATACAGTTGCTGTTAATTTATATGGAGACAATTGTGGTAGGAACATATTAGATGGGTGAATTACGAGTTTAGTTTGGGATATATTTCATTTAATGTGTCGAATCAGTTTGGGATTGGCCATGAACATAAAATACTTTATGTAGTTTTGAAATAAAGCCATATGGCTGCACAAAATAAAAAGAAATTTTATGTAGGTAGAGAAGATGTCTGTGGTGGACATGGGGATGAGCTGCCTAGATCCCCCTTCTGGGAGTTCTGTCAATACACAGCCTCCATCTGATTATCCTTAAGGGTTTATCTCAGTTACCCTTGGTGGTCCATCCATATGCAATGACTGATGGACATGAGAATAAGGACTGAGCCATTTTAGCCCACTTTAGGGCAACTCTGATTCTCCTTCTAATGGAGTCTTCTGAAACTGCCATGAATCTGCACTGCAGTTCAGTTTCTCCTACTGGTGCAGTTCCATTTCTGCCCAATATTGCTAACCTCCCCCTTTCTTCACTGGTTTTGATTTCTAATAAATATTCTGCATGCCAAATTGCATATCAATGTCTTTTTCCAAATAACTGAGCCTGTGATAAGGTCCAAGAACTGACCATTGAAGGCTGTCCAGTCTTTAGAGCTTGGGGACTGGAGGACAAACCAGAAAAGAAGACATCAGAGGAAGTGGAAGAAAACCTGAAATGTACAGTTCCTTAGAAGATAAAAGATGATGGTGATTCCATGGAGACAGATCACACCTGAGGCCAATGTTGCTGCTTAATCAAGTGTGATGGAGAACCAGGAAGGCTTAACGGATCACCTGTTATGGTTTAGCTGTGCTCCCTCCCAAAACCTCATCTCTAATTATAATCCCCACGTGTCAAAGGAGAGACCAGATGGAGGTAATTGAATCATGGGGATGTTTTCCCCCTTACTGTTCTCTTGTTAGTGAGTGAGTTCTCGCAAGATCTGATGGTTTTATAAGGGGCTCTGCCCACTTTGCTCAGCACTTCTTCCTGTCACCTTGTGAAAAAAAGTGCCTTCCTTCGCCTCAGCCTTCTGCCGTGGTGGTAAGTTCCCCGAGGCTTCCACAGCCATGCTGAACCATGAGACAATTAAACCTCTTTCTTATAAATTACCAGTCTCCGGCAGTTCTTTATAGCCATATGAAAACGGACTAATACAGCACCATAGGTAATGACTTTTACAAGAGTAGTTTCAGTGGGAGAGGAGGGCCAAAGACTGACCATTTTCCAAGTAGAATGAGAAGAGTTCAAGGAGGTGTTTTGTTTAAGAAGGAAAAAAAACCCAAAATAGTCCGTTTTCATGTTGGTTTTAAAGAACAAATAGGAGAAAAACTGATGCAAGAGAGAGGAGGAAATGCAATCTACTGCAGAAGTAGGAGGTTAGACTAATTTGAAAAAGAGATGGTTAATCTATAGTAAAGGAGGCAAGGCAGAATATGGGTAAATACATACTGTTCCACAGGAAAAGTGTTGAAAAAATACAAATATGATTAAAAATAATTCCTATGGCATAGGCAAGGGAGAAATATTCAAGGACTTCACAATTTTCTTTTATGTCCTGCAACCCCTTCCCTGATGATTTCAAAGCCCATTAAGGTATCCCCTATCTTATCTGAACACTCACAACTGTGGCCATAGTGTATTTTGTTTCTGATTACTTATTGTTAAAATACATGTTTTATTCTGCCATCTACCTTACCTACGTTTTCTTCCCTATCCTTGATTCCTTATTCTGTAACTATATCAACAATTTGCAAAGACACAGGCATAATTTAGGGTACAACTTGCCTCTCTTCATTCTCTATCTTCCCTGCTCCTAGTTAGCACTCAATAAATGTTCATTGATTTATTGCTTAAAATATTATTCCTCCAGAAAACTACTTGGATACCTTCTTCACTTCCTTCAAGTCTTTGCTCAAGTTTTACCTTTGATAATACCCAACCTATGTAATCTTGCAAATTTCCCCAATATTTTTTACTCTATCTTCCAAATGCTCCTTTTTCAGTTTTTACTACGTTTTACTATGTTTCTTATTTGTTATGTTTATTGTGCGCTATCTCCTCCAACATGATGTAGACCCCATGAGGGCAGGGTCTTGTCTTTTGTTTATTAATGATTCCCAAAAGCCTAAAACAGTGCTAGACTCAGAGGTGGCACTCAATAAAGTGAATTAGTAAATACATTTATAATTCCTACACATTTATAGTAGTAATCCCCTGTTCAAATTTTTCAGATTTGTTTAGGAAGATGAGAGAGCTCATCCTTTTCTCCAGTTTTTTTTAAGCATCTATTTCATGCTTGATATTATTTGAAAGTAAAAGACATTATTAACTATTTTTAAATTCAAGAGGTACTACACAAGTTAAAGAAATATTTATTTATCAAATGGTGCTGGGTTCTGTGGTATATAATGTTAAACAATATTTGCTCCCTGCTTTCACATAGTTCATAGCTATTAACAAATGACTTGAAAAAGAAATCATATCTGGTGACATTTTGATGCACTGGGAGTGACTACTTAGGAAACTGTACTGAGCTGAGACCTACTTCAATTAGCTTTGCCCTCTAAGCCTTTGTAAATAGAGTATGGCCTCATGAGTAATATATCTGAATTAGACTGTAAGTTACATAAAGTTAGAAAACTTAATTTTGTTTCTAATTCAATTCACAGATACCAATATTTACATAGTGCTTAATAATTTGACGTTCAACAAATAAATACATGCTACTGACAATGCAATGAATTAGTGTAACAGGATATTTGTATGAAACTAGTTTTACCTCCCTTTTTTGACTGAGGAGCTGCTATCACAGATATCTTAGATGAAAGTGTGTATGAGTCAAATCTCCATATGCAGAATTTGCGATAAAAGTGTTAAAAACAAAACAAAAAAAATGACCTTTTAATCCCCTAATCCGTTGCAGGAGGTAGAGTGGATGACAGTGGAAATGAATATTTCATGAGGAACATATTTCTGAAAAGAAAAGGAAGAAAAGTGCTTTGAAGCCCCATGCTTCATGTGTGTTGTGGAGTGGGAATCTATATTTTTTGGCAGAATTATGTGAAGCTCCCAAGAAAACAGTGGTAGAGAGTGAAAAGTTCAGAGAAATGGTGAAGGAGAGCCCCCTAAACTTATGATTTACTGACTGTGCACATCACAAAGACTTATGCTGTCAGAATCCCTGGTTATTTAATAGGACTTAGTTGAGCTTTCAGAAGGCTCTAGCTCTCTTTATTTCTTGGAATATGTCTGATCCTTGAAATACCTATGTATCTTTGGTTTCTATAAAATCAGGGCATGCACATGATCACATGCTTTTCTGACTTTTTGAACAAATAAATAAATCAGCTATTTCATGGCCTCTATATTCCCTAAGTGGAAATCAAGACTTCTACATAAATAGCTTTAACAAAGATGAAAGAATGACCTGTCTCTGCATGAAAAGATCGTCAAAACTTAAAATGTTATTTTAACATTTAAATGTGTAATTGATGAAAGTGTGTCTTGATAATTTTGCATTAATTTAGCATTCTCATAATTACAGGCATTATTGTGCCTGTTACCCTGAGAACACTTATGCCCAGATAGAGCTCTTCTCTTAGTTCAGTTAATCAGCATTAACAAAGGTGAATTAGGCATCACTGTCTGAAAGTGAATTAAGCATTATTCGTTGACTGGATTTTAGACATTCTAACAAGTTGAATATAGTTTAAATCCTTGGTGAGGACTGAAGAGCTTACAATGCTATATAGAATTATGATCTCTACATCACTTCTTTTTAAACAATATATAATGTAGAGGACTGAACAGCAATATAGTTACTTCAAATTTCAGTCTAAAATTACTTTTTACTAAACTTTTAATATATCATTTTCATATAATATGGTTTTCTTCTTAATGTTAAGAAAAATCTTGATTAATTGAAACCTTGGCTATGGGTTTCTGCTAACCAAAGTTTTACTGCATCTTCTTTCCAAATTCACCTTTGATGTTAATTAGAAATTTAATTTTTAATTCACATACCTTTGTGACTGTAGCTATCCTCTTTAGATATTGATGTACTTTCAATTTTTAAGACATATCATTAAAAGATCATAAGCTGAAAAATATTATTCCTGACATGGGAAATCTTAATAAAGGGAGGGATATTTCAAGCAATATACTGTAGTTATTAGTTAATAAACAGTTTGGTTATAAGCCAATCTTATTATCAATAAAAATTATTCTAATTTTAATTTTTGTTAGACTTTTAATATTTCATTCTCTTCTATGATTTATCACAACTTTGATTTTTGAAAATTTCCTCAAAATTGTTTTCAAATATCATTTTTGATGTTTCTTTGAAAAGACTTATTTAAATTCCAAACATAGAACTCTGTCCATCTATTGATTAAAGAGAATAGAGACCATGAAATAATTAATTATTCTTTTTACTTTCTATTCATTCATATACTCTTTAAGATTTAGTTCTTCACAAATACTCTTAGAAAAGATAAATTACTGACTCGTGGTTTTTGTGTAGCTGATGACATATTTTCTTCTACAGTAAACAACCTATCTGACCCGTTTATTTACTCCTACAGAAAGAATTGCCTTATCCAGTGACACTGGCATAACTTAGTAAATTTCATAGGTTGCAGCTAAGAGCTTTTCTATGTGGAAGGCAAGTGTACTGAAATGCTAGACTGGTCTCATCTAAGCCACAAAATGGTCCAGACTCTAAGTTTGGAAATCAAGCCATGACATTTTAGTTCTGAGTGGTCACTGACTTGTTCTTTCCTTTGAAATTGTATTCACCTTCTCCGAGAGTGTTATATATAAGCAATTGGTATAAAAAATATATCTACCTATTTGGTAGGGTTGCTATGAGTGTTTAAAAAATCTTATCAGTTTTTGAAGTTACATGTATGTTTTTCTTTGTTAATTATTTAACTGATCTCTATTAAAGAAAGACTTTGCCATAAACCATCCTAGTCAATTCATGGTAGAATTGTTACTCATCAAAGAACTAGGTTGATCATCATTCTAACTGGTGGGAGATGGTATCTCATTGTAGTTTTGATTTGCATTTCTCTAATCACCAGTGATGATGAGCTTTTTTTCATATGTTTGTTGGCCACATAAATGTCTTCTTTTGAGAAGTATCTATTCATATCTTTCAGCCACTTTTTGATGGTTTTTTTTCTTGTTAATTTATTTAAGTTCCTTGTAGATTCCAGATATTAGCCCTTTGTGAGATGGAGAGATTGCAACAATTTTCTCCCATTCTGTAGGTTGCCTATTCACACTGATGATAGTTTCTTTTGCTTTGTGGAAGCTCTTTAGTTTAGTTAGATCCCATTTGTCAATTTTGACTTTTGTTGCCATTGCTTTTGGTGTTTTAGTCATGAAGTCTTTGCCCATGTCTATGTCCTGAATGATATTGCCTAGGTTTCTTCTAGGGTTTTTATGGTTTTAGGTTTTACGTTTAAGTCTTTAATCCATCTTAAATTAATTTTTGTATAAGGTGTAAGGAAGGGGTCCAGTTTCAGCTTTCTGCATATAGATAGCCAGATTTCCCAGCACCATTTATTAAATAGGGAATCCTTTCTCCATTGCTGGTTATTGTCGGGTTTATCAAAGATCAGACGGTTGTAGATGTGTGGTGTTATTTCTGAGGCCTCTGTTCTGTTCCATTGGTCTATATATCTCTTTTAGTACCAGTACCATGCTGTTTTTGTTACTTTAGCCTTGTAGTATAGTTTGAAGTCAGGTAGCGTGATGCCTCCAGCTTTGTTCTTTTTGCTTAGGATTGTCTTGGCTATACGGGCTCTTTTTTGGTTCCATATGAAATTTAAAGTAGGTTTTTCCAATTCTGTGAAGAAAGTCAATGGTAGCTTGAAGAATTATAAATCATTCTACTTATAAAGACACATGCACATATATGTTTATTGCGGCACTATTCACAATAGCAAATACTTGGAATCAACACAAATACCCATTAATGATAGATTGCATAAAGAAAATGTGGGTCATATACACCATGGAATACTATGCAGCCATTAAAAAGGATGAGTTCATGTCCTTTGCAGGGACATGGATGAAGCTGGAAACCATCATTCTCAGCAAACTAACACAGGAACAGAAAACCAATCACTGCATGTTCTCACTCATAAGTGGAGTTGAATAATGAGAACACAGGGGAACATCACACACCAGGGCCTGTCAGGGGGTGGGGCAGAGTGGAGGGATAGCATTAGGAGAAATACCTAATGTAGATGACGGGTTGATGGGTGCAGCAAACCACCATGGGACGTGTATACCTATGTAACAAGTCTTCATGTTCTGCACATGTATTCCAGAACTTAAAGTATAATAATAAAAAAAAGAACTAGATTGTTCTTTTCTTTCCAGTAGAAATAGAAAACCAAAAAAAATTATCATTGGATAAAGTAAAATAAAATTACAGTGCTCTCCCCTGACAGTTTTAAATATGCCACCTCTATATCTATTAAATGTCTTAACTTCACCCCATATTCACAACAGTGGGTTTATCAGCTATTTTGAGTCACAATGATATTGCGACTTCACTTACTAGTTAAGAGGTTGATCAGACCTGAAAGAATTAAGAATTTGATGGTTAGTATAATGCATGAAAAATAAATACATAAAATAAAGGTAAATATAAGCTAGGCCAAAATATACAGAAAGATGGGAAAATTAGATCTCCATTGTTATTTAAAATTCATTTTTAGAGATTGGAGAGGCATAGGATGAGGGTAGATGAGATCCCCTAAAATGTATCTCAACAAAAACACTTAGGATTACTTAGACAATTTAATAATGAATAGAGTAAGCTTCATAAACTATTTTTTTGCAAACAGAACTTAGCTTAGAAGCTCAGATATTTTGAATCTATCAAATGTATGATTTATTATTTGGGTACTAAATTGTCTATGAATGGACAATATTTTTTGTTTAGCAGCAAAAATAAAATGTTGTTTTGGACAAAGCAAAATAATAATTTACCATACTGTTCTGTCTTTTTGTGAAGCAAATACAGTGGTCAAAAGCAAAGGTATTTAAAGAATGCTTTAAGTTACTAGAGTGTAATACATGTATCAAAAAAGATAAAAACTTAAAAATAGAGAATTCCAGTAGAAACTATCTTGTTAGTGTTATGAAGATCAGGTATGCTACTAATAATCAAGCTAATTATCAAGTTGACCAAGAGCAACAATATTAATAAAGTTTTTAAGAATGTTATGCTCTGAAGCCATTGTGGAAATAGTTTTAGGAAGCAATAGTTATTTCCAAATAAAAAATGCAATACTGAGATTTTAATTTCACTTCTTAAGTAACGGAGACTCTATTAAAAAGTACACATTGTGAAAGGATGAATAGGAAGGATGATTTAAATTAAATCGTTCATTTACTGAGAAGAATTCTGAAGCAGGTTTAAATATTAACTTTAAAGTCAAATACTCCAAACCAACATGTTTACTAAATAGTCACTCAACTGATATTTCAACATTTTTTTATGATTCTATATCCAAAGCTGCCCATTATATACTGGAATAAGCCTGAACGAGAGTAAACCAAAATGTTGGGATTTTTTAGTATGAAAAATATGAATGTTCTCTAAGAACCTAATATTTTGTTGGTAACTGGGTCATATTTTGTTGGTAACTGGGTAAATTCATATAAATAGTTCAACATGTGAGCAATGAGAAATAATCTGGGTCATAGGGAATCAAGAAGAATATGAATTTTCAATTTTGATTCATGGAATATTAATTGTCATGTTTAAAGTACTCAAGGTTTTGAGCAAAACAACATTTAACAGCACCCCAGTGCCAGTACTGCAGCTGTATCTGCATTCTAGACAGATGGGGGGTGTGTCTGCGGTACTTAATGTTCAGCTGTTCACCATAGCTCCACTGCCAAAATAAATGGTCATCAGATACACACAGCATCTCAGCACCATTTGCTAAAATACGTGGGTGATAAACAACACTTTGTTTTATCCAAGGTTAGAAAAAAATATGAAAATCCTTTTTCCTCACTTGACTCAAGGTTATATGACCTGCATTGGGTTTTAACAACAACAAAAAATTAATTGAAGGACTAAAAGAAATGTGTACCTCTACATAAACACAGTGAAACTGGTCACTATATTTACTTAATTTATTTTGTATAGGAATTAATATTTACTAATTGTCCTTCATGTTTTACATATTAGGTTGATTCACTAATTAATGAACTACTCTTATTCAGAAAGATATAGAACATAGAAACCTTCAGATTTAAGGTTTTTTCCCCCTATTACTTTGTTCTAAGATGCACAACTTGTATTTTTAAACATATCTTTAGAAAGAAACACTTGGAGTAACAATATATTCTAAGTGTCCCCTAGGGAATTTTTTGTAGCATTGGAACCTGAGCAATATTTAGCAGCATTTGGCCCCTTCCTGAAAATGACTCCTTGGACCAGCACCCATACCTCCCAACCCCCAGCAAATCGCTACTAATGGAATTTCAGTTTTGTGGAAAACACTGTCTCTAACTACAAACGGTTTCCTGCTTACAAGTTTAATTAACATGTTGTTCTGCCCGTATTTCATGTCTTGGTAGGAAGATGATCACTTTTGACTTTCAGGCAACACTTTCAAAGAGATGTAAATCAACCATTTTATGTAATTTTCTTTTTCTGTTTACTTCTCTTTTAAAATACACTTTCTAGAATTTTGCCATCTAGTATTAGAGTGTGCCTAGTTGAACTCAGATAATAAAGGAATAAAATTAACAATTTTTATTGTTCCTCATAAATATGTAAGAGAAAGAATGACCTTTAAAATTCAGTTCTTTATAAAAGAAAACAAATAATCATTTTCTAATATTGAATTGACATTAAAAAAGTTCCATGACACCAAAAATGATTATTTCATGGGATATTCATAACATTTAATCAGAGAAAGCCATTTAAATGTACAGCTCAATATGAAGTTCATGTTCTACATTTAGAAAATAAAAAGTACACAATTCTGTTAATAAATGAAAACAGAAGGTAGAAGACAGTGACTAGCTTGCTTTGATAAATTTTCTCAACTGGGGACTACATTTCAAGCTGTGATTATACTCACCATTTCAGTATGAAATGGCTCATACCGAAGTAATTGGAGTTGTGTTGATACCACTTTTACATTTTATTTTTTTGTAGAATAGATCAGTGTGATAATTTTGTGTATGTTAATATGAAAAATTTATAGGGAGAGAAAGACTGTTACGAGTTAAATCTAATCCAGTGAAGAGCACAAGGTGAAATTATACAATTAATCTAATAATAAATTATTTTACAAAAGAATCATATATGTGTCTTTCAGATAAATCAACAAACGTTATTTTTTTTAACATAACTGTAAGAAAAATGCTATTTTATTAGTGTTTTACAAGGGACAACTTGCATTTACCACCGTGGCAAAAAAAACCCTTCAAGGTTATTTTCTATTAGTCTATACACACTGGTTTCTGTTCCATCCAAGGTTTCATGGTTGAGACTCGCATGTGATTGAGTGTTTGACTATTAGTTCACATACTGGGCTAGGTGATGTGTACGTGATCCTTTCAGTATACTTGAGATAAAGAATAATTTTTCTCTGCTTAGATTTGTTGCTTTTAAGGTAGAACCCCTGGTGTGGGGGACAGTCAGGGCATCCACAGATTTTGAAAGAGTTGCTAGAGGCAAATTAAACAGAAATATTAGTGCCCATGGCCATTTTTGTCTAACCATTTGAGGGAAAGCTCATGTGTATCTTAGTTAAGGTCTGTCTAAATAACTACTATTTCTGATTCTTATTTTTTGTAGGCCATCTTTTTAAAAGAATCTATGCTATTGCTATGTGATATTTCAGAGAAATCTTTTTGTGTTTTAGAACCGGTGGCAATAAGGAATATTGTTATAGTTTGAATTTAAATGAAATATTAATCTAAATAATCCTTCTTGAAACATATTTTTTTTTCTGAGAGACAGTGTTTGATATTAAAACTCAGATGAATAGAACCAATATGTGTGCTACTTATTCTGCTGCGTGTGTCTGTGTGAGCTGTGTGCTTATATAGTCAGGGTTTCTTCTGCTCAGTCATTAAGGAGGATATATTATATTCCCATTTCATTCATATGTTGTCAGGATGAATTGACAAACCTCTTTTTCCTTCTTCCATAATACCTACCCAATGCAGTTCCAAGCATGGGAACTTACAATTTATTATAGACATTTCTGATTATAATAAAGTACTGAGTCTCCTGTTTTGGGTATACATTGTCTTTGATTCATCTTTTTGGAAGAGATGATATAAACTTTAAAAAAGCTAGTGATTGGATTGCCTTTCCTTTGAGATGTGCTGTGCTTTATTAATCTTGAGTTGTGGGTTGAAATCCCATTGCACTTTTATGTTTTCCTGGGTTAAGTCGTTGTTTCAGACAGCTGAGTAAATTTATACAGCTGGAGTTCATTCAGATCAGTGCTCTAATATTGCTCTCTTTTACTTTTTCTTGGCAATTTTCTGCTTTTTTTGATGTATGGTACACATTTTGCCTTGCTTTGAAACGAGTCATGGAGGTATACTTCTCCTTCTTTCATCAAATGGTTGAATAAAAGTGGCTATTATTCCATTCTCCTGTGAAGATTACCTGCCATTTAGTTCACATTCTCTATTTATCTCTGTTAACTTCTTAGCTTGCAGTTGATCACAAACAAAAGGCGAAAGATCCTTTTTACCATGCTGATTATTTCTCTATTCGCAAGTATACCACTACAGTATAACATCCTAGATTTCTATTTCCACCACTTATTGTTCATATCACCTAAGTAATATGTTCTCTTTATGTATTGTGCTTTTCTTGCTACCCAGTTAAGTTATATATTTATATATATTCCTCTTGTGTTGGAACTTACAGTCCTGTAACCTGAAGTCAATATAGCTGTGAAATTCACTGTATATCTCAATGACATGGACAATGACAATCCAGGATTTTTGCATTTTTGTTTTTTTTTTCTTAATTGGGCTCCTCTTTTTTGAATTACTATTGAACATAGTGTCTGTCTACTTGAGGACAAAGATAATATCTTATTTTTCTTTAAATATCCTGTACTGCATAAATACAATATACAGGTCTTACATTATTTATGTATAAACAATTGATTCGAATAAAACAGTGTAAATGATGAAGGGTTTTCTGTACTACTTTGAGTTTTTCTTCTCTGTGGAAACAGTGGGCATGTATATAATCAGGATATTTTTTATAATATTAATTGGGGAGATGAGTATTTTTCTATATCATGACACTAATCCTTCACCTATGTTACTATTCGGGGAGAAGTTATTTCATCTACAGGAGAACCAGGAAAGAAATATGACTATCCCAAGTCCAGCATCTTTATTACTACAAGTATAATACAAAGGTAGTATTGGGTTAGACAAAAACTGGATGTGGAAAAGTTAAAAAAAAAAAAAAAAGAGACTTAAGATACTAGCACCAAACAGTCTTTAATTCCAAGACAAACTCATACGTCTGTATGAAAACTTTTATATAATTATATTATGATTGAGTTTAATTAACAGGTTTAGCCAATCTTGACCTGCAAGCAAGGGCAAGAAATTGGTTTCAACATTTTTAAGTGATCTAGTCCACATTTTATATTGGTATTTTGGTTCTTACGCTCAGCAAGGCACAAACTAGGAAAAAGATAATAGTTACTAAACTCTGTTGGAGGGATGAAATAATCTCTCTACAGCTGATAAGATTTGTAATATTGGTTGAGTCTCTTAAATCGGCCACAGTATCTATAATTTAAAAAAAGACAATATAGGTTGCTTTGCACAATGAACCACAATAACTTGCATGAAATTAGCTAGAATAGAGCACTCTTTCTTCTTTTCTTCCTCATTTGCTTTGAATGTTTTTTTTATGTGTATGGATTTCCTCTGCTATTTTATATTATATATGCCCAGAGAGATGCATAAATTTTTAATATATTTTTTCAGTATGTAAAGAATGAAATTATTACCACATTTATCTCTAAATAGCCAACAAACTCTTAATTGTTTTAGTAGAGAAAATCATTTAAAAATGAAGATCAATTGGAAACTTTGCAGGTAAATAACATTTATATTTTGTCTTTGCTTTCTAAAGATGTTACATTGAAACAAGTGTGCTCAAATGTGTAGTGAAATTAGTCATAGCATTAATACCTATCTCAAATTGCAAGCCACAAATGTCAAAAACTTCTAATTATTATGATTATATTGGATTAAATCTAAAAGAACTGTAATTATATCATTCATAGGTGCAATGAAAGCTTTTATATTACCACAGCATTTCAACATTTTTATTAAGATTTATTCAGTAATCCCCCGGCTGTAATATGCAACCACCTATGAAATGCAGTGATTCTTCTCTAAAGCAGACTAATTAGAATGGGAGTTAAAATAATTTTAAAATTAGAATAATATATTATGTCTGAGTTATCCACAATAATTACAGGCTAAGAAACCTTGCCAAATTAAAATTATTGGTCTGTTTTTGAGGATTTGTAGGGCTGGGTGCTTGTTATTATTGTAAGAAGGCATGAAAAGGAAGACAGAGTGTGAAAAAGGGAACAGAAAAATAAAAATACAGACTTTATATGAAGAATACTGAAGTAGACAGAAAGGCAGGTTTCTCATTGACTGGTAAGTGAGTGAGTTATGAGGTCCAGTCTCCCTTCCAAAATGATAGATTCTAAATATTAGATGAATGGCAAGGAGTAATATGTAAATGAGAATGTATTAGTTCATTTTCATGCTGCTAATAAAGACATATCTGAGACTGGGTAATTTATAAAGGAAAGAGGTTTAATTGACTCACAGTTCTGCAGGGCTGGGAGGCCTCAGGAAACTTACCATCATGGCAGAAGAGGAAGCAAACACGTCCTTCTTCACATGGTGGAAAGATAGAAAACAATGAGAGCAGAGTAAAGGGGGAGCCCCTAATAAAGTCATCAAATCTCGTGAGAACTTATTATCATGAGAATAGCATGGAGGAAACCACCCTCATGATTTAATTACCTCCCACTGGGTCTCTCCCACGACATGTTGGGATTATGGGAACTACAATTCAAGATGAGATTTGGGTGGGTACACAGCCAAACCATATCAATAAATAAAAGGAAAAATTCAAAGTGATTTGAAATAAAGAATAGCTTTCCCATTTCCAGTGTCCTGGACACCTATGAGCTTCACTAGAAAAACAGAATTTTGGTACCAGAGTTAGAATATGTCTGATAGGTATTTGAAAATAGTCATAGAATGATTATGTAACTTGTCCACGTTGGCAGAAATTATCTCTCCCATTTCTGGTAGGAACTTGAGCACAATTTGACTTTGAATTATCTACTCTTTTGCTACTTTACATTAAAACTATTTGATAACTGATAATTAAACCTACTTTAACATGGTTGATGTTCTTCATTTGTGAGCCTTCATATGATCCTTGGTATCAATGTATTAATCACTCCTTTATTTTGCTAATACAATTCAAGGAAATCATCACATTAGCAAAAACAAAAGTATAATGAACAGCCTGCCTGCATTAAATTTATGTTTTTAATTTTGTCTGTTGTCTATGTCATGCTTTCAGCGATCAACAGTAAAAGATAATAGGCAGCCTGGCTTTTTTAGTCGAAATATTCTTAAGTTCCACTTGACTAAAATCTGCTTTTAATGATTTCTGGGATTTACTCTTTTTCTTCCAAATCTTTTTTCCCCACTTCTTATGTTTAACACAATTACACTTGATTGATGCTTAGCACATCCTAATCTGAACACCTCATCTAACTCTTCAGATTTCTATCTACTTCCGGTAAACAATGTTGCAATTCCATCTCTGGACCCTTGGGCTCCACTTGAGCACTAGTTAATTTAATAGGAATGCAGACATCTTTACTTCATCAATTTTTTTTTTTTTTTTTGAGACAGAGTCTTGCTCTGTCACCCAGGCTGGAATGCAGTGGCACGATCTCGGCTCACTGTACCCTCTGCATCCCTGGTTCAGGCGATTCTCCTGCCTCAGCTTCCTGAGTAGCTGGGACTACAGGCGCCCGCCACCATGGCCGGCTAATTTTTGTATTTTTAATAGAGATGGGGTTTCACCATGGTGGCCAGGGTGGTCTCGATCTCCTGACCTCATGATCCGCCCTTCTCAGCCTCCCAAAGTGTTGGGATTACAGGTGTAAACCACCGTGCCCAGTCTACTTCGTCACTTTTATGAGGATGATAAATATTAGTTACATTTCACAAAAGTGATTTCTCCACAGAGATGCTAGTACCTACCTAGTAAAAAAAAAAAGATGTTAATTTTAGCATTTGTATAGAAACATCCAAATTCAATAGATATCAGATACCAAAGGAAGTTCTGAAAAAGACAAAACTTAAAAAAAAAAACCTGCTAGAGAAAAAGTTCAATGATTCTTAAAAACAAGCAAAACAAAACAAACCCTAAGCCTCATATGAGTGGGAATGATAATTTGACAAAAATAATGGAGCATTCATGAGCGGATTTCCTGAGATGAGCTATTGCCTTGCATAAGCCCCTATTTACACCAAAGAGCCAGAAGCGGAGGATGCTGCTTCCTTTTTCTCAAACTTAGGCAAAATGGACTTCAACAAAATGCCTTAGAGAGTTTGAGGTGTTCTTTACGTTGAGAGACATAATAGACTTGTTCCTCACTCACATCTGAGGGCGATAAGGAGAGTAGGCAGAGGACTAAGTGTGGGACATAACTGCATTCCCACCAAAGGCCAGGCAAGGATGCAGTAGTCTTTCCCATGGTGGGCCTCTTCAGACATTTCAGAGAGAAATGTCTGGTGCTATATTAAATCTTGGGCAAGGAAAAGCTTCTGAAGAAGGAGGAGGCTTCAACAGGAAGAGTGTAGTGTAAAGTGGATCAGCACATCCAGGAGAGCAGGAGGATAATAGAAAGCCCCACTGGGAGAAGTGCCAGTGCTTGCTTAGGAGAACACCAGGTACCAGGCTTGGGCAAATTTTGGTATGCTGTCTCTAGAAGCTTCCTATTTTTCCCCGACTGTGGGTCAAAACATTAGGTTAAGTAAAATAAGCAAGGAACAGAAAGAAAAATACTGCACCATGTCATTCAAATGTATAATCTAGGAAAACTGATCTCATAGAAGAAGAGAGTAGAATGGTGGTTACCAGCAATTGGGGCAGTGGTGGGGGAGGAATTTGAAAGATGTCGATCAAAGGGTATAACATCTCAGTTAAACAGGAGGAATAAGTTCAAGAGACCTATTGTATAAAATGGTAACCATAGTTAATAATAATATATCATATTTTTGAAAAATGCCAAGATTTTGAGTGTTCTTACTACAAAACTAACAGTGATGTGAGGTAATGCATATGCTAATTAGCTTGATTTGTCCGTTCCACAATGTACAGGCAAACCTCTATAATATGTGGATTTGGTTGCAGATCACCATAATGAAGTGAATATTGGAATAAAGTATCACATGCTTTATTGAGTCTCTCATTAATATAAAAGTTATGTTTACATTATACTATAGTCTATTAAGTATGTAATAACATTATGTTTAAAGGATGTACATACCTTAATTTAAAATAATTTATCATTAACAAATGCTAACGATGACCTAAGCCTTCAATTAATTGTAATATTTTTGCTGATGGAGGGTCTTGTACCCATGTTGATGGCTTCTGATTGATCAGGGTGGTGGTTGCTAAAGGCTGGAGTGGCTGTGGCAATTTCTTAAAATAAGAAAACAATGAAGTTTGCTGCATCAATTAATTCTTCCTTTCGTAAAAAATTTCTCTTCAGTATGTGATGCTGTTTAACAGAAATTCTTTGAAAATTGGAGTAAATCCTTTCAAACCCTGCTGCTGCCTTATAAATTAAGTTTGTATGATACTCCAAATCCTTTGTTGTCATTTCAACAATGTGCATGGCTTCTTCGCCAGGAGAGTAGATTCCATCTCAAGAAGCCACTTTCTTTGCTGATCCATATGAAGCAACTCCTCATCATTCAGATATTATCTTAAGATTGCAGCAATTCAGTCACATCTTCAGGATCTACTTCTAATTGTAGTTCTCTAGCTATTTTCACCACATCTGCAGTTACTTTCTCCCCTGAAGTCTTGAAACCCTCAAAGTCATCCATGAGGGTTGGAATAAACTTTTTCCAAACTCCTGTTAATGTTGATATGTTGAGCTCCTCCCATGAATCATGAATGTCCTTAATGGCATGTAGGATAGTCAATCTTTTCCAGAAGGTTTTCAATTTGCTTTGCCCAGATCCCTCTGAGTAATCACTACATATGACAAGTATTGCTTTAAGAAATATATTTCCTAAATAATAAGACTTGAAAGTTAAAATCACTCCTTGATTTATGGGCTGCAGGATGGATGTTTTGTTAGCAGGCATGAAAATAACATTAATCTCCTCGCACATCTCTATCAGACCTCTTGGATAACCAGGTATATTGTCAATAAAGAGTAACATTTTGAAATAAATCTTTTTTTTCTGAGCAGTAGGTCTCAACAGTGGGCTTATAGTATTTAGTAAACCATGCTGTAAAAAGGTGCTCCATCATTCAGGCTTTGCTGTTCCATTTATAGAGCACAGGAAGAATTGATTTAGCATAATTCCTAAGGGTCCCAGGAGTTTTTGAATGACAAATGAGCATTGGCTTCTTAAAAATCACCAGATGCATTAGCTGTGAACAAGAGAATCAGCCTGTCCTTTGAAGTTTTGAAGCTAGGCATTGACTTCTTTCTAGTTATTACATTCCTAGATGGCATTTTCTGATATAAAGCTATTTTGTTAACATTGAAAATCTGTTGTTTAGTGTACCTACTTTCATCAATGATCTTAGCTAGATTCTCTGAATAACTTGCTGCAGCGTTTTTATCAGTACTTGCATCTCTACCTTGTACTTTTATGTTATGGAGATGTCTTCTTTTCTTAAACCTCATGGAACCAACTTCTGCTAACTTGAAACTTTTCTTCTACAGCTTCCCCACCTCTGTTAGCCTTCATAGAATTGAAGAGAGTTAGGGCCTTGCTCTGAATTAGTCCTTGACTTAAGGTAATTTTGTGGCTGTTTTGATCTATCTGGACCACTAAAACTTTCTCCATGTCTGCGAAAAGGCTATTTTGCTTCTTATCATTTGTGTGTTCATTGGAGTTGTACTTTTAATTGTCTTCAATAACCTTTTCTTTGCATTCACAACTTGGGCGTTTGGTGCAAGAGGACTGTCTTGGCTTTTGACATGACTTCCTTGCTAAGCTTAATCATTTCTAGCTTTTGATTTAAAGTGGGAAATGTGCAACTCTTTCTGTCACTTGATCTCTTGGAGGACAATGTAGGGTCATTAATTGGCCTAATTTCAATATTCTTGTGTCTGAGGAAATAAGGAAGCCAGGGAAGAAGAGAGATTTGTGGGAGTACGTGGTCAGTGGAGCAGTCAGAGCACACACAACATTTACTGATTAAGTTTGCGGTCTTACATGAGTGCGGTATGTGGAACCTCAAAACAACTACAACTGTAACATCAAGGATAACTGATCACAGAGTGCCATAACAGATAAAATAATAAAGCGTTTGGAATATTGTGAGAATTACCAAATTGTGACAGATACACAAAGTGAAAACATGCCATTGGGAAAATGGTGCCTATAGACTGCTTGACATGGGGAAGCCATAAACTTTCAATTTGTGAAAAAAAAATAACATCTGAGAAGTGTAATAAAGTGAAGTGCCATAAAATGAGGTATGCCTTATATATATTTAAAAACATGATATCATATAATTTTATCTGTCAAAACAAAACAAAAGCTGCATTAGATGAGTGGTGGATACATAATGTATACTGGAAAAGAATGATGCCAAACATAACCCTTTGCCCCAGCATAGGTTGCCAGCCATCAACTGACTTGCTAGGGCACAGAAAGAAAAATGTCTTTCCATCGAATGAAGATTGTTTTTTTTTTTGGACTGGACCCTTTTAAATGCTGATTTATTGTTTACTGTCTATCTTAACATGGCCATGCAACTATATACTGTTTAACATTTTGTAGAAAAAAATCATGGAGCTTGAAGAATTTTCATCTAGTGGTAAGAGAAAAGCTTTCCCCACTGATCAATTATAAATAGTAAAAATAAAATGAGGTTTTCATAAGATCCTGAATGCCATGCTTATTCTTTTTAATAGGTACATTAATATTCCTAAAGGTAAAGTTTTTATTAATGAAAAAATATGCCATGCAATGAATGATCCAAATAAGTGTGTATATCTATACTTTGCCTATATGATATAAACTACAGAGATTAATGAGAGTGATATTTCTGGCATGGTATGGACATGGTCTAAATTGGCACTATGTTCCTGGTTACTACTATATAACAATTGACTTTGTCCTTGCCTCCCTCCAGTGTTTTTTTTTTTTAATTTTTAAAATTTAACTTTTGTATCTGCTGTGGATACATAATCAAAATGGCTGATTTTGCATTCCTTGTAACAAAGGCTGGGATTTCTTTGTTTTGATGTTTTAACATTTCTCTCATTCTATTTGAATATATTCTTGCCTCATTAAGTTAAAATTCCTGACTTCTAATCTTCAACATTAAAAATTAGTTCGAGAAAATAGAGGTTAGTTAACTTTTAAGGAGATATTTGGAAGGCAGGTATGAGTTCCTACAACTAATTTCCGAAGGGAATGCAGCCAAGCTCCTCTAATAGTTAAGCCACATTATTTATGTCTACTTTACTTATGTAAAATGTTCAAGTATTTACCATACATATTACAATGTACACATGTGTGTACGTGTTTGTGTGTGTGTGTAAATCAAGGGAAGGTAGATGTTCTCTATCCTTATAGTAAAGACAAGAACCTCTAAACATATACTACTGAAATTTTAGTATTCTGTGCTATAGACACAATATTGATAACTTGGAAAAATATATAATAACATATTTCATATCCAACATCTATTGTAGTCTTTCGTAAGACCCAGGCCAAGAGAGTGCTTTGGACTGTTATAATAAGATACATGTTTATGTTAAACATTTAAAGTGACTCAAACATAGCATGAAAAATATCTAAATTCTATATGAGTGGAAGTGAAAAAATATTCTTGATTTTTGAGCTTACTATTCATATAATTTTAAAAACCTCTTTTTAAAAATATAAATAATAATCACTATTATGCTATGGAAATATATTCCTACAGAAGTGATTTGCTCAACATATTTCTTGAAACCCATATGTACAAATAGGTGACTTTTTCTGCCCATGGAAATGTTAAAATATGTTGTTTGGAGTTATTTTATTGTGTAAGAAGTAAATCATAAAGAAGAATAAAAACATTTCACTGAATTTGTGTCCTATGTGACTATCGTATTAATTATGGTAAAACAAAACAAAACATAAAAGTCAACAGAGTATTTAATGAACATTACTATCTAAGTCAATTTCAAATAAAAATGAGATTTTAAAAATTCCCTTTAGTAAGTTACTCTATTTATAGTGCTTTGCAATACCTCAATTGGTAAGTCTTTCAATTAATTCTTTCTAACAAGGTACTTAAAAACATACAAATGAATTTTATCTTTCTAAATTAATTTTTATAGAAACTTAAAATAGACATTTAAGTAGCAAGTTAGTATATAAAATAAAATTACAGAAAATGTAAAATTGAATTAGAGAACTATTTTTTTCAGACTTTTATTTTCCTCTTTTGTTCCCCATATCCTGACATATATATTGGGCCTTCAGTCAACGAGGCTTAGAAGAGATTTCTTAGATGAAAAAGAGATCTACGCGTTAGATTTAATTTTATCTCTAGTACTCACTGATGCCCAGAACAAATATTAACTCCTCTGCAGATGCCAACCATATGAAAAGAAAGCCCTTCTAAATTATATTATGTACTCATGCAACTTTTAATAAGGCTATGTGAAAAATTAGAAACACATCACATTAGAGAATGATAGACATAGACTAGTTTGCTAGAGAGAATTTCTCACTTCTTAGCTGCTATAGTTGTTCAGATTTTAGTCACTGCTCCCAAATCACTTGAAACATTAAAATTTGAACTAAATGTCATGTGTACAGTACAGAAACACACATGTATTTCTGCAATTGCTACTTTCTGACATTAAATAGCAAAATAACGTAAAAGCTATTTTGGCCTTATGGCTCGAAATATAAATAGTTCTCGTCTTAGGGATAAGAAGGTGAGAAGTTAACACAATACATTGTCAAAGCTTCCTGGACTTGGTGGTGGGTTTGCAGGCAATGGTTATACCCAGTTTGATACTTGTTTCCATGTAGAGAGCTAAGGATGCTGTATGGACATACAGGAGCTCACTGACAGGTGGGGAAAGCATCTGGAGGCCTCATTGAGATGTTCACTTTCACTTTGAGTGTTTTGACATTATGTAGACACTTCTCTTTTAACATTTATCACAGCTGTGCATTATTTCCTGTAACCTCTAGGAATTTTTAGAGACTACTTTGAATTTTGTGGAATGTTGGTTATAGTCCCTGTTGCTTATTCAGCATTATAATTTTTCCCTAAAAATGTGTTATCATCAATACTCAGATGGAGAGCTCTAATTAGATTCAATAACATTAATTGTAAGGATCACATAAAGTCAGAAAGAAAGGAATTAAGTTTGTTTTTTGCTCACACAAAAGAACAATCTGATGAGTTGGTCAGGAACTGAGACCCCCTCAAGAAAAAATAAAAATGTCAGCTTTCTAAACAGTTTGAGTAAACAGAAATTTTGGGTGCGCTAATTTGGAATTAAAATACACTATTTGGTCATTGGCTATGCTAGCCTGTACATTTTAGTAGCATCTAATTTAAGTCTTAGAAGAGTGCTATTTCAGTTGTTTCAATAATTTTTCTTTAAAATTTCTATGCTTATGATTTTACAATTGTAAAAATTAAGAAAAAGGAAATTGATTAATAACATAATTCTACAATAAGACCTACTATTTACTGAATATATATCTAGTGCTGGGCACTGCTTTAAATTCTGTGATTCTTTAACTCATTTAATTCTCATGACAAATCTGTGAAGGAGCAAATACAGAATTACATCCTCGTTTTACAAATGAGGAAACTGAGGCACAGCATGAGTAAATATCCTCTTCAATGTTACAAAGCTAGCAAGTGACTGAGGTAGATCAAAACCAGGTAGTTTGGTTTCAGAGGCTGTACTTCCTAACCACACTGCTTCTAATTCACCTCATAAAAAATTTACATTTTCCCAATATATTATTTTGTGTATAAATGCAATATCCTATTAAAAATCTAAAAAAAAATTAGAAAATTGAAAGCCTAGTAGGGATATCAACACATATAGGAGCAAAAACAGCCAAGTCAAAAATCCTTTACATAAAAGTATTAGAGGAGGAGAGAAATCTGCATGCCTAAATTCAATTTGCCAAATATTTATTCAGTGTTCTATTTTACTTTATTTTTTTTTAAATTTTAGCAAAGGGTTTAGTATTGAGGACATTAACAATGGTAAGCACCTAACTGCTTTTCTAAGCCAGTGTATGGAAAAATCTTACCTAACAGTCTATGTGGACTGTGCGTTCATTTATTAATAGGAATCTGATTCTAAGTGAATGATTATAATTCAATTATACTTGTAATTCAATTTAATGATTTTCATTGAATTTCTTATTTTTCCATTTCTGATTGATCTAGCACTATCATCCATGTTTATGCATATTATTTAAAATTGTGCTCTGTATTTTATATAATTTACACATTAATCTCATTTTATATTGTTCCATAACCCCAAATGTGACAGACTTTGGATAGTATGTTTTCCTTTTGATAAATGTGCCCATACTGCTTGACTTGTGCAAATGTAAGCCGAGTTTTTCATAACCAGTTTCTAGGATTTAATTACCATATTTCTACCTTTTAAATTGTCCACTGATTGCAAGATACATCAATGAGTTAAATGCCACTGCCCTGAAACCTGACATGGTAAAACTTTTAGTGTTCATGTCCGATGTGTCTCACCACTAAAGACTCAGTGTGCTACACAAAATCCTGATTATTGCATAAGTCCTTCTTTGTATTGAAGATGCCTACATTTCGTGAATTTGTTAACAAAGAGCAGTGCTGTTTTGGGTACCCAATTAAGTAGTTAACTATAAAATTCATCCTTTGGTTTCAGGTCAATAAAATACAGCTTTGAATAGACTTCATTTCTATTTATGTTATACAAACATAAAGGAAACATTTGGAGGAAGATAAAAAAAAATTCCTGGCACTTTCAGATTCAGTAATATGAAAATGTACATTTAACTGCTTTCTACTTTCTATGTTTTGTGCCTGTCAATAGAACATGCGATCCGTGTTTTTAAAGAATGTGTATTTGAGCCTCTGTTTTTTATTCTTTTGTGCTTGTAACTATAAGCAGGGTAGGACTCTTCTTTTGCTTTGAACCGTGTTCAGTCCAGAAAAACAATTAAAAACACACGCAATATCCATTAATGGGGCTTTCCTATAGATACCTATTCACTTTTTAAAATTTAAAAAATATTCCCTCATTTGTATTCCTTCTCCATAGAAAAACCTTCATATATACATATTATGCTTTTATTATCCAATCTGTGCTTAGTTTCTGTTTATGGCTCAGGTTGGTAGGGTAACTGCAAACTAGTGTCAAAACTAGCAGAAACATATAGTTTGCTGTAAATCTAAACTCTTACTCCCATTGCCTTATTTTTATAATTTGTATATGTTTAAGAACAACTACAACAGTATTAGTGCAAACACTTCAAGGTTATTACGGCTCAAGAACAAAGATGAAATAATGAAAGCATAATTATTACAATACACTGATATGAATCCAATGCTATTGCTCTTTAGAATTAAGTTTATTATAAAATAGTCAATGTCTGAAATATGTGTTGTAAAACAGAATACCTAAGACTTCTTGTAGCCATTTTGTAGACATAAAGACAGAGAAAAGACTGTTAAAAGAAAAAAAAAGCAGGAGAAAGAAAAGGAAAAGGAGTAGAAGAAAAAGTGATATATTGTAAAAATGCTAATGGAATATTGGTTTTATTAATTGGCAATTACAGGGCCTTACAATGTCTAATAGTTACTAGAACTGAGATGATATATTATTTTGTTGGTCTTGTTTCTTTGCTAGATAATGAGTTATGTGGATGAAAAAGAGCAGAAAGTATTAATAGTCTCTTTTAACATATTTTAACATTGTTAATTATTTGCAAAACAATTTTTAAGACTTTACTAATTATTTCATTAAAAAGTAGATTGCCCTGGCAATGTTTCTTATAGCCCTGATATTTATATAAAGTAATATTTTCTATGGAAATTGTAATTCCTTATGACCTTTTGGGAAAAAATTATATTTCTGTCATCTTAAAAAGTTATGTCACTTACTTGACTCAAGATGACTTAATTGTATAAAAGGAAC
Organism: Homo sapiens; assembly: GCF_000001405.40. Lineage (NCBI taxonomy): Eukaryota > Metazoa > Chordata > Mammalia > Primates > Hominidae > Homo > Homo sapiens. Next base: position 194,868,272 of record NC_000002.12, on the reverse strand, counting down.
GTTATTGATTACATGTTAATCAAGATGGATAGAGTCTCCAGTTGGGATATATTGTATTCTCTAGTAGCAGTGTGTTTTATGTGTCATGATTCTAAAAGAAAGTTATGGAGGATAAAGGGTTGCTATAAGGCTGGAGGTTAAGTAGCTGTTTTATGCCCTGCTAAATTCTCATGATATGGTTGCAATCAAATTCTATTTCTCATTCTAGAGAGGGTGAGACTTAATAACATTTATTACTGTGTTCTTTATATAAGTCTACACCTCATGGAAAGTAAAAGAGTTGAAATAAGTTTACCAAACTCAATTTGACCTTTTTTTTTTTTTTTTTTTTTTTTTTTTTTTTTTTTTTTTGAGATGAAGTCTTGCTCTTGTCCCCCAGGCTGGAGTGCAATGGTGCGATCTCAGCTCACTGCAACCTCTGCCTTCTGGGTTCAAGCGATTCTCCTGCCTCAGCTTCCCAAGTAACTGGGATTACAGGCACCTGCCACCACGGCCAGCTAATTTTTGTATTTTTATTTTTTTTATTTTTAGTAGAGACGGGGTTTCACCATGTTGGCCAGGCTGGTCTCAAACTCCTGACCTCAGGTGATCTGCCTGCCTTGGTGGGTGGAGAATGGATAAACTCCACAAAGTGCTGGGATTACAGGAGTGAGCCACTGCACCTGGCCTTGACCCTTATTTTTAAAGGTGGTTATCAGTGAGAGCTTTTTACTGCCACTAGGGGGCAATTTTATATTAGACATTTTATATTCTCTACTCCTAATAAAGAAACCTCATATATGTCACCCTGAATTTCGAAGGTGTAGAATCTGATGTCTGATATCAGTGTCAGCCTTAAATACATCTCAGTATTAGGCAAGCTTTTAGAGCCAACAAAATAAGAAAGTTGGAACATCAATTGGAACATTCTGGGAGGTTGTTTTTAGAGGCAATAAGAGGAAGATCATTTTGTCATGGAGAGGAGACTTAATACAGGCAAAGCCTTTTGAGGATGACTCTGTTTGAATTACTTTGAACCGTGTTTTAATTTTAGAAGCCCATAATATGGAGTCAGAAAAAGTTCTTAAGGGTATTTTTATGGTAATGTTTTTTCTTATATAAGTGATAGCACTAGCTGATCTACTTGTTTGATTCTAACACATTTCTTTATGAAACTGTTTTTTGAACAAGAACAATACCTCAGCCAACTCCATGCAATTTTTACAAAGAAAAGAAAAGGGAGTTTTACAATTTTAAGCACTGTTTTATTATGAATCAGGTACTTTCAAAATCCCATGGAGTGTATTCTACCTGCATCTGTATTTACTTGGCATTTACTAACAGGAGGCCTGTGGTGTCTTTCTTACATTGAAACCCCAGCTTCTCAAGGTCATTGTTTATCTTGGCTAAGCCTTCAAAAGAACTTTCCTCTTTAATATCATAGTTTCTTACCACTGTTATCAAGATCTCACTACCAATCGCCTAATCCTTCATTTCATGGCAACACAGATTTGCTTGTATGGAAATAAAAGGCTTTCCTTTTAGAAAAGTAAAAAGAAGAAGAAAGATTCACATGCAAATGTAAACACACGTGTATAAGTACATACACATTCACACATGTCAAAAGGAAGGTATGTTACATATAAATTCTCTATGTTCACTTATAGCACAATAAAATATTTCTAGCCAATTTTTTTTGATTCTTAGTGACAAGGCAACTTCAAATCTACTCTTTTTAATTACTTTTGTTATAATTATTTTTTATGCAGTCCATAAATTTGCTTTCTCTTAACACCAAAACAATTGTCTGTGAATCTAGTGTAGTCTGACAGTTTTTATCTTGATGTATATGACAAAGTAAAATTACCAATAAAATGATTTCAACTTTCTGGTAATTTATTTTTATTTACATGTTATCAATTACAAAAAATAGATTGATAGTTTAATTATAGGTACATTTTGATAGATTAATAGATTGCTCATTATGGGTAATATGTATGGAAAGCACAAGTTATGATTCATTTGAATTACTTAATAAAAACTTTGAAATTAAAATGTTCTTCCATTGGATATGTATTTAAGACACTCGGAATAATGTTGTTTGTGTGGAAAGCAATCTGGGAAATCTTTGATTGGGACTTGCTTATTAATTTATTGGGAAGTGATTGTCATAGACTGTAGGAGGTTGAGGGATATGTTAGTTACTCCTGTTGCAGCACAGTCACTTGTAGATAGATCTGTGTGACCTAATTTGTCTTTCCAAATAAAATGTTTACCAAAAAATAAAGAACAAGGCATATATATATATATAATACTGGTTATCAATTTAATATATTTCCTTTCTTTCTTTTTTTTTTTTTTTTAGATGGAGTCTCGCTCTGTCACCCAGGCTGGAGTGCAGCAGCGCAATCTCGGCTCACTGCAACCTCCGCCTCCTGCGTTCAAGCAGTTCTCCTGTCTCAGCCTCCTTAGTAGCTGGGACTACAGGCACCCACCACCACGCCCAGCCAATTTTTGTATTTTTAGTAGAGGCGGGGTTTCACCATGTTGGTCAGGCTGGTCTTGAACTTCTGACCTCGTGATCTGCCCGCCTCGGCCTCCCAAAGTCCTGGAATTATAGGCCTGAGCAACTGTGCCCGGCCTATTTCCATTATTTTAAAAATTATATTAAAAAGTGAAAACATCAAAGGCAAATAGATACCCATCACTTATTTTACATACTATATACCTTTATATACCAACTTCTTTTATGCATATGTTATTTGTGAATATACTGTAATTTTTAAGGAAATGTACTATATATAATTGTATATAATAAAAATGTTTCATGTGGTAAATTAAAGTAGTATTTAATGTAGAAAAAGGAGCATTTTAATTCACTATGGATTATAATTCACTAATATACTTATTTTTAAAATACCAAAAGGTCATTATAAAGATTAAACCATAATATGTGTGAAAGAGCTTTATAAACAAAAATATAGTGTGTCTTTAACTCCTTGAGATTCAAGCTGATGTAACTCACCTATGTGTGTGTAGAACCTAACACAGAGACTGGTATAAAGTTTTTCTTCAGAAAGAACTGTGAGAATTTTGGTGGAGCTTATCCATTCTCTGAGATATGAATGATAATGCTTAAAATCCTGAGGGAGCCCAGAATGTTGATGTTTCAACGGAAGAACCTTAGGCTGTAGCTTGTTAAGTAATGTGAGATTGAGTAGGAGCACAAAAAATTAAATAAACACCCTTCTTTCCACTGGCATAAGTCAGAAGTCTAAAATTCTACTTAAGACATTAAGAAAGACATTTTTACTGTTTAGATATGGTTAAGAAATAGAGGTATAGAGGTTAGTGATAATGATTTTCTAAGAAACACAAAGGGCTGTCAAATATTGATCTATTGGACAACTAAAATTTGTCCAATCAAATTATGAAGAATTGGACGGTGAAAGTATTTGTTGTTTCTAAATTATTGTCTGGGACTTCCTGAAATTCAGTAAAGGAAAATATATAAGGGATGCTTCCCTTGGGTGATCATTTGTGCCTACCAGATGCTTGTAGATCTGAAAACTTTTGAATAATTATTATAACAGAAACATGGCAGTTAAACATATATATAAATCAGAGAACAAAGCAAATTACTGCCTCAGAAAAGATTAGATTAGACATAAGTTCCAGATTTAAGTATTACAAATGCTAATTGCAGTTAGGATATTATGTAAAGAAACACTACTACACATATTGGAATGTACTATCTAGTATAAAATCACTTTAATTCCTTGGCTCTGTAGATGATCACAATTTCACTAACCATGGTGATAATCAAAACCTGATAGAGTGTTTTTTAAATAACTGTTTGCAATTTCACTTAAACCATATTGTGTGGCTTTTCTGCTATCCTCCCCCTAAATTTAATAATTTAAATATTACCAATTGGTAATAATACTTTAATAATTTACATATTAGTCTTGAAATAGATTTGAGCTAATCCACTTAGCAAAGATAACTCAGAGCTCTTTAAGTCCAAGTTCAATGTATTAATTTTAGTAGTTAATTTTAGAATCTCTGTGGCACATGACATTCTATAGTTCACAGTTTTTGTTGTCTATAAAAATACTGGCAATACAAGCTTATGGATAAAAATTCAATATTTTAGAGAATTATCTGCCAATAATATTATTCTGGGAAAGCTCTCACTGGATTTTTATAAACCTAGACATTGTTTCAAATTCAGCAAGTAAAATAAAGCAATGATCTTTTCTTGACTTTCATAATACATATGACAAAAAAAATCAGCAAGAAGATTTTTTGATTTAAAATAGATACCGGGCTGGCTTCAGGTACAGCTTTGAATATAAACATTGATTCAGACTAGGTACACGATATGATTTGAGAACTGAAAGCCTCATTCAGCATTTGGCAAATATTATTGGAGAGCATATTGGAGATGCTAGAGTATGAATATAGCAAAAATATCAGCATAATTGAGGAACAGAGAAAATTAAAAATAGAAGTAAAATTTGAAATGTCAAATGATGACATGATAAATCATGAAAAAAAATCCAGAGAAGGGGCAGAGAGTGCAGAGGTGGTAGTTGAATTTCTCAGTGTTTTGGTAAAGGGAGGCTTCAAAGAAAGCCCCTTGAAGATCTGAAGGAGGTGAGAACATGAGCCTTATGTACATCTGAAGAAAGAGCATTCACTCAAGGCAGAGGATTGGAGGCAGAACTGTTCCCCCTCATACGCTCATAGGACATCACTGAGGCCAGTATAGATGGCATGGAGTAATGGGAGGCAGGTGATAGAAACAAAGATTAAGTCAGAGTGTTATATATGAACCTTTGTTTGCCACTATAAGCAATTGGGTTTCTGCTGTAATGTGAAGAGAAGCCACTGGAGGATTTTGCAGAAAGAAGTGGCATGATATGACTTAAGTGTTTCTCCTGTTGACTCTATGAGAGTAAGAGTGGTATCATGGAGACCAACTGAAAAGTTATAATAATTCAGACTTAGAACAGAGTGCTACCAGGGAAGGTAAAGTGAAGTGGTTGACATATGCATGCATTTAGAAGATTAAGCTGTGCCAATGTTGAGGAGTGTTGAGGGTAAGAGAACTAAAGCACAACTCTAAACTTCTTGGCCTGGGCAACTGCAAGAGTAAAGTTCATATTCCTGAAATGGGGGTGGGGAGCTGTTAGTGTGGGGAATGTAAATGTAGTTTTGGGAGACGTTTAAAAAATTATTTTTGAGGTATTAAATGTGAAATACATATTAACCATTAAAGTGAAAGTGTTAGTCTTGAATTAAGAGGAAAGAACTGGGCCAGAGATACACATTTTGAAGTGGTCAGCATGTAGAGTATGTTCAAATTCACGAAACAACGAAATGACTAAAAGACTGAAATCCAGAAGAGATCCAAGGACTGAGATGGGAAAACTCCAAAATTTTGAGATTGGAGAGAGGCAATGGGGACTGAGAATAAATTGCCATGGAGGTGGGAGGCAAAGTGGAGGCACATTATGTTCTGGATAGGTGAAGGAAGTGTTTTATCTTTCCTTAAGTATCTCTTCCACTGGCTCTGAGATAAACTGCTGTGTCCACCAAGGTAACCTGAGATTCTTCTCTCAGAAACATTAGGAAAATGCACAATCCCGAGTAGAGAAGAATAGGTTTCACAAAGTTTCTATCAGATAAATTTTTTCTTTTTTTTTTATAATAACCATAAGCCCTTTACCTGAAATACTAGGAACAGTAATGTCACAAATGACAGATTAATTGACTTTGGGGGCTACAATGTGAGAAGTAAACTGATATGATCAGGACTATGTCACTTATGAATCTTTACTGTCATAAAATCTGTACTGCTGGAAGGATTAGATTAGCAGGGTTATATTCTTTACTCTCAAGTAACTTCCAAGAAAATACAATAAATAAACTGGAGAAACTTTTGAATTACACATATATAGCTTCTTGTCTTTTGGCTGAAACCAAGTGTACTGAACACCCTCGTTAACAGTTAAACGTGAACACATAAAGGTGCTTTTCTTGGTGTTGGAGAGATTCAGATAAAAGATACCTACGGGGTTCTAGTTCTGCAATATGGATCTGTTTTAAATTAGAACAAAATATGAAATCACAAGTTAAAAGAGTGTATTATATCAATAAAATTGATGTGGGTATGTACAGGTAGGCTAGATATTCACATAAGAGGAGTTTCACTCAGACCATAGGAGGGATAGAAGAGAGAGACAATCAAGGAAGTCTTTCTGTAAGAGGTGACATATTAGGTGTTAGTCTTAGAGACAGAATCAAAGTTATTGGAAAAGGGAGGAAGCATATTTCTGACAAAAATAAATTTAAAAATTAAAATGAACAGCTTATATAGCAAAGAGCAAAACATTCATGGTCTTCCCTGAGGACCACTTTTGTGCATCTCCTTTCTCCTTGGTACCATTATGGACCTCTAATGTGTTCAGGCCTCTCATAGCACAAAACACAAAACCCAGTTTTCAGGTGATTACTTTTTATGTCTTCCCTGATAGACTCGGTTTCTTGACACCAAGGAATCAAGAACTAAATCTTAAACATCTGTGTCCTCAACGCTTATATTTGCTGACACCATTAAACTTTTTGTAACATCTACAATTTGAATAACAGTAAGTTCCATTTGGTTAGGAAAGATGAAGTTTATGCTTGTTTTTCTGGTGTAATTCTTAATTGTGCTTATTTTCCATTTCAAAAGTGTTCTGGTTTAGATAATAAATTATATTGTCATGATATCTACGGAAAAATAGATTATGATTTATATAAACACATTTGAAACAGCAGCAAATTTGACTGATGGATGCCAAGTGGAATTCTCAGGAAAATAAAAATGTTAAAAAGTGATCACTGTTTATCTAAAATTATTATGAAAAGCCTAGACTTTACAAAGGGCATGGCAATGTAAGAGATGTCAGTTTATCTCTGATCATGAACAGCCAGAAATTGAGCAAAGGAGATTCTAAAGAAAAAAAAATCCCATCTTTTTCTCACTCATGAGTATTTGTTTGACTTGGAATTTTCTTGTACAGCCTTTGAACAGCATTACCTTCAAAATTTAAAAGAAGCTGTTACTAAAGTTTATTCAAATAAAATTCTTGCACAGAGAGACAAGTTTTTTAAGCATAAAGCATGTTTCATTATATTAATTTAACATGTGTATATATAATAAAGAATATTCAAAGATTATAAAATGGGAAAATATTTCTAACATATGTTACAAAGTCTTATTAGTCATGTTCCATAAAGGGCTGTTTTGAATTATTTATTTAAATTTAGCAAGCATGGTCAAAGAACATATAGTAAATTCAGGATAAAAGAAATATAAATATTTAATATATATGAGAAAACTCAGTGTTTTTAGCAACTCATAATTGAAAATTAAAGTATATAATACATCATTTTTTGGCATAGCAGTTTGGAAATTTTTATCAAAATGCCAATTTGTGTTCTTGTTAACTCAATTTCACTGCATAAATTTATAGAGAAAACATAGATTTAAATACAGAGTATATATACATTCATCATACTCCTATTGATAGTAGGAGAGACTTCAATCAAAATACCTAACTAAAGTTAATTGCCTAATCTATATAATTGAATATTTAGCAGTAAAAATGTATGTAAAAGTTACCTTGTGAAATATTATTTAACAAAATGTGGACATGCTCGTGATATATTATACCCGGATTATCTACCTTACTGTCTTCCCATCAATTTTTTTTTTTGCTTTATTTTTTTTAATTTTTATTTTTTTATTATACTTTAAGTTTTAGGGTACATGTGCACATCGTGCAGGTTAGTTACATATGTATACATGTGCCATGCTGGTGCGCTACACCCACTAACATCACACCACCTGACTTCAAACTATACTACAAGGCTACAGTAACCAAAACAGCATAGTACTGGTACCAAAACAGAGATATAGATCAATGGAACAGAACAGAGCCCTCAGAAATAACGCCGCATACCTACAACTATCTGATCTTTGACAAACCTGAGAAAAACAAGCAATGGGGAAAGGATTCCCTATTTAATAAATGGTGCTGGGAAAACTGGCTAGCCATATGTAGGAAGCTGAAACTGGATCCCTTCCTTACACCTTATACAAAAATCAATTCAAGATGGATTAAAGATTTAAACGTTAGACCTAAAACCATAAAAACCCTAGAAGAAAACCTAGGCATTACCATTCAGGACTTAGGCATGGGCAAGGACTTCATGTCCCATCAATTTTTATTTTCCTTTAGATATGCTGGGAAAGTGGAGTTTCTATCTGCCAGTTGCTCTTCCCCCTAACTGCTACTTAGTATTTTCCCCTTGACACCCAAACATCTGATGGAGTCATTCAGGTCGTCACTAAAAAGGAACCATGGAAATTCTCTGTAGAAACTTCTCTTACTGCTTTGTGTCCTGTGATAGGGAGGCTGGTTTTATTCTTCCCATCACATTCGATTCTTCCAATTACACGATCTTGTGAAAAATGTTGGCTATAAAATTTCTTAGAATTCTTATAAACAAATGAAACCTGAGAAATACATCTACATTTGCTAGGAATGCAGAATTTTTATGCATGCTTTTTAAATAAGCATGTATCTTTAAAAAATATTTTTGACAATAAAAGCAAACTCAATGAAACAATCTTGTATTCAATCTTGGACCAGAATATATATATTAAATGTGAATATATATATTAAATATATATTATATGTAGTTTGTTTGTTTTGGCTATAAAGGTCACTATTTGGACAATTAATGAAATGTGAATGTCTTTAAGGTCAATAATACCATTGTATTAATAAAAATTTCCTAATATTGATAGTAGTACTCAGGTTATATAAGAGAATATTCTTGCTTTTACAAAATCGACATTTCAGCATTTAGAGGTAAAGGGATATCATGTTTACAACTTAATCTCACATTATAAAGAAGAAAGTCGTAGATTGATGAACAGAACTGTCTGTCCGTCTATCCAGCTATCTATCAGTCACTGAGAGAGATGGTAAAATCTAAGTACTGTTTTAAAACCTGGATTTTTTTTTTTACTGTTTGATAACTTTTCTAAAATTACTTCAAAAATTAAAAAAGGTTTAAAAATACAGCAAACACATTTTACAAAGAACAAGAAATACACAGGCATACATGTGAACACTTACACAGGATTTGAATCCAGGATACATGTGCAGGATGTGCAGATTTGTTCATCCTGCACAAGTATCCTGGAACTTAAAATGAAATAAAATAAAATGAAAATAAAACAAATCAACCCAAGTGTCAACAACAGAGAATGGATAAAAAAACGTGGTGTCTGTATGCTATGTAATACTATTCAGCCCTAAAAAGGTTGAAATCTGTCATTTATAGCAACATGGATGGAACCGAAGGTTACCGTGTTAAGTAAAACCAGAAATAGAAAGTTAAACACCACTCATTCTCATACATATGCAGAAACCTTAAAAAGTTGTTCTCATGGAAATAAAAAGTAGAACAGAGGATACTAGAGGTTGGGAAAGTCAGTGGGGATGGAGGGATAGAAAGATTTGTTAAAGGATACAAAAGTATATTGTCTTGAAATCAAGTCATGAGTACTCCAAAATGTTATTTTGTAAAATTGCTTTGGGTATACCAAGTCGTTTGCATTTCCCTATAAATTTTACAATAATCTGTCCATTTCTATAGGGATTTTGATTTTGATTACATAAAATCCATAGATGGATTTAATTTGAGGGAGATTGGAATATTAACAATATTGAGTCTTCTAATACAACACCCCAAGCAAAAAACAAACAAAAAATGTGTTCTATATCATACTGTCATAAACCTTTACTATTATTTATATTGACTTTATTATATAGCTTCCCTTTTAGGTTAAATTGCATTGTAGAAAGTGGATTATAAAGCTAATATACTTGAATATCTTTTCTTATATATGCATGTATAATGTATATATATGTGTGTATACATATACACACTATACACACATATTCTATTGTGACATTCTTCAAAATGTCTAAGCAGGTCACTTGGGCTCAGTGGACATTTTGAGGACCAAGCAGATTTAAGTGTTTTAGAACAAATATCATATTAAGCCTAATGTGGTAAAAACATACATGCTTTATTAGTATAAGAACACTTTTTGAAAGGTTGATGGAAAAAATAGAATTAAAATATAAAAATAGAAAATATAAACTTTATTTTTTCAACATAAGCTCCATCAAATTCAAGACACTTTCGTAAATGATGGTACCAGCCATTTAGTCCATTCCTCAAGAATTGAGGGTCTTGGGAATTTAACAATGTCAGTGCAATCTTTTTTACACTATTAACTGAAGACAAATGGGTGCCCTTTTTAAGATTAGGAAACAAAAAGAAGTCAGAAGAAGCCAAATCAGGACTATAAGGTGGATGCTCTTGCCCCATGATTTCCCATCTAGAAACCCACAAAATTTCTTGTGTTTGATGAGAGGAAGGAGCAGGACCATTTTCATGGTGGAAGACTCTTCAGTAAAGCTTTCCAGGGCATTTTTCTGCTAAAACTTTGGCTAACTTCTTGAAAACACTCTCATAATAAAAAAGATGTTATCATTCTTTGGCCCTCCAGAAAGGCAACATGCAAAATGCCTTAAGTATCACAAAAAACTGTGGCCATGAACTTTGCTCTTGACTGGTGTGCTTTTCCTTTGATTGGACCACTTCTGCCTCTTGGTAGCCATTGCTTTGATTGTGCTTTCTCTTCACAATCATACTAGTAGAGCCATCTTTCATCTCCTGTTAACAAGTCTTTGAAGAAATGCTTCAGAATCTTGATTCCACTTGTTTAAAATTTCATGGAAAGCTCCGCTCTTGTTTGCAGCTGATCTGAGTGCAACAGTTTTGGCACCCATTGAGTGAGTGGAGAGGTTGCTTAGCTTTAGTTTTTAAGTAAGAATTCAGAATTGTGTAAGCTGGATGGATTGAGATGTCTATGGTGTTGGCTACTGTTTCTACTACTAATCATGGGTCCTACATTTAGGGCATGGGCAATAATTTTTCTCTTGTAAATTGTAAATGGTCTGCTGCTGTGAACTTCATCCTCAACATTTTCTCGTTCCTTATTAAAGTGACTTATTCATTTGTAAACTACTGATTTCTTTAGGGTGTTGGTCTCATAAACCTTTCATAAAGCAAAAATGATTTTGCTATTCTTCCCACCCTAGCTTCACCATAAATTTGATGTTTGTTCTTCAATGTTATCAGAATTTCTGTTGTCCTTTTCAAACAGATTGTTCATCATTTTTAGTGCCTTAAACTACATTGTGTTCAGACATGTTATAACAATTTAGGAGCAGTTTATTTTCGTGGCCAAAATTTTAAGATCCATGCACTTTTTATGATAAGCATTTTTCATAAACTTTGAAGACCCTTTGTATATTATGATGCTTTAGAATTATGCAATCTAATAAAACTAGTATAATCCTTCTACTAATGGCATCGCTTTCTCTTATAAAACAGATTAAATTCTATGTTATTAGGAAATGCTATAACTTTGGGAGAATTAGGTCATGTAAGAGAGTTGCATCTTAATATACTATAATTTGCAACCAATTTAGAATGTGTCAGGAGTCATACACTTCTCTGAAACCATTCTGTTACATAGTGTCCTTTTTTTCTTTTTAAATAGTCACACAGTATATGGTCCCATGAAGCTAATAAAAATGCATATCAAGAGTAGTCTTGAAGAAAGCTAATTCTTTCAACTTTACAAGATGAAATAATAAAGACAGTGATTTATAATGTAAAAATAATTTGCAGCTTCAATAGATTAATTTTCTTTTGATTTTATATTTAAAAATATGTGTGCTTATTAAAATCAGAGCATATTTTAATAGGATCTGTACTAAATAGTCTAGTTTAACATTAAATATAATGCATGAATCTTTACTCTTTAATCAGTCCTTTAAAATTTAACCTTTACAGATACTTTATAGCAAAAATAAAATATCTCCTGCTTATTTTATTATTTTGCATTTTAAGTTAAATGTCTTAAAATTAATTATAAGATAGAATCTTGTGTTGAGTATGAAATTTGCAAATTTATCCAAAGGAAATCTGTTTAGTAAAATTTCTGCTTCACCAGTTATGACCTACCTTGATAAAATAAACCTGTTTACTAGAAAATGTTGGTTTGAATCGAAAACATTTTTGGTTTTGCAAAATCCCTTCTGGCAGTGTGCAAGTAATGGTATATATGGGTAAAAAACTCCAAGTGGCTTGGCTTTTCTAATTCTTTGTTATTCGTTAACTGGCCAGCAGAATGGGCTCTAGAAATGTGAAAATGTTATTACCTGGTACACAGTACGTATTCAGTAAATATTTGTAGGATACATAAATGAATAAAGAACTGAGTATAAGGAAAATCATCTCTAGAAGACCCAGTGCAATCATTATTATAAAGTCTTTTTAAAAGGAAAACAGATTGGGCATAATAAAAGTATTCCAAACAGGGTAATGTTATCTTATTTTTACATATTAATAGATACTTTAAAAAAATCTGAAGCTGTACTACTGACTTCAAACACCTATTACCTATTCTTTCCACTTATTTTCCTAGAACATCTGCTCTCTCTTTACTCTGTCTACTTTCATCACCTCTATGCATCATTTTAAGGCTTTGATCTTAAATGGAATTAGAAATTCTTGTAACTTTACTCTTCCTTAAAATACCGTATTGTACCTTTAAAAGTTACTTAACACTCTGGCTAAATTCTTAGAATACAAATAGCACTTTCCTATATTTTGAAAAAGAATATTCAAGGCCGTTTTAGACCTCCAAAAGTGACAAGAGCTTGTAGAAAGAAGAAAGTACTACATTTCAGTAGTTGTGATTAAACCAAGCATGTTTGCCCTGATGCTTGTGTTATGGATTATAGCATGAATAAATCTTAGAGAAAGAAAAAAGAAAAAAATGGCCATTAAATAAAAATAAGTAATAAATTATAAATTTTATGGAGAAGACAGGCAGGCCTCCTTAAGCTGAAGTGGGCTGCACCCAGTTTGAGCTTCCAGGCTGCTTTGTTTACCTACTCAAGCCTAAGTAATGGCAGACGCCCCCCACCCCAGCCTTGCTGCCACCTTGCAGCTCAATCTCAGACTGCTGTGCTAGCAGTGAACGAGGCTCCGTGGGGGTGGGACCCTCCGAGCCAGGCCCAGGATATAATCTCCTGATGTGCCATTTGCTAAGACCATTGGAAAAGCGCAGTCACAGTATTAGGGTGGGAGTGTCCCAATTTTCCAGGTAGCATCTATCACAGTTTCCCTTGTCTAGGAAAGAGAATTCCCCGACCCCTTGCGCTTCCCTGGTGAGGCGATGCCTCACCCTGCTTCGGCTCATGCTCCATGGGCTCCATCCACTGTCTGACAAGCCCCAGTGAGATGAACTCGATACATCAGTTGGAAATGCAGATATCACCCGTCTTCTGCATCACTCCTGCTGGGAGCTGTAGACTGGAGCTGTTCCTATTTGGCCATCTTGGACAGGAACCATTTTTAAAAATCGTGTGACAGACAAGCAAATGCTGAGAGATTTTGTCACCACCACTGCAAAAACATGCCAAATTGTGAAGACCATCAATGCTAGGAAGAAACTGCATCAACTAATGAGCAAAATAACCAGCTAACATCATAATGACAGGATCAAATTCACACATAACAATATTAACCTTAAAGGTAAATGGGCTAAATGCTCCAATTAAAAGACACAGACTGGCAAATGGATAAAGAGTCAAGACTCATCAGTGTACTGTATTCAGGAAGCCCATCTCACGTGCAGAGACACACATAGGCTCAAAATAAAGGGATGGAGGAAGTTCTACCAAGCAAATGAAAAACAAAAAAAAAAGCAGGGGTTGCAATCCTAGTCTGATAAAACAGACTTTAAACCAACAAAGATCAAAAGAGACAAAGAAGGCTACTACATAATGGTAAAGGGATCAATTCAACAAGAAGAGCTAACTATCCTAAATATATATGCACCCAATACAGGAGCATCCAGATTCATAAAGCAAGTCCTTAGAGACCTACAAAGAGACTTAGATTCCCACACTATAATAATGGGAGACTTTAACACCCCACTGTCAACATCAGACAAATCAATGAAACAGAAAGTTAACAAGGATATCCAGGAATTGAACTCAGCTCTGCACCAAGCAGACCTAATAGACATCTACAGAATTCTCCACCCCAAATAAACAGAATATACATTCTTCTCAGCACCACATCACACTTATTCCAAAATTGACCACACAGTTGGAAGGAAAGCACTCCTCAGCAAATGTAAAACAGAAATTATAACAAACTGTCTCTCAGACCACAGTGCAATCAAACTAGAACTCAGGATTAAGAAACTCACTCAAAACTGCTCAACTACATGGCAACTGAACAACCTGCTCCTGAATGACTACTGGGTACATAACGAAATGAAGGCAGAAATAAAGATGTTCTTTGAAATCAGTGAGAACAAAGACACAATATAACAGAATCTCTAGGACACATTTAAAGCAGTATGTAGAGGGAAATGAAATTTATAGCACTAAATGCCCACAAGAGAAAGCAAGAAAGATCTCAAATTGACACCCTAACATCACAATTAAAAGAACTAGAGAAGCAAGAGCAAACACATTCAAAAGCAAGCAGAAGGCAAGAATTAACTAAGATCAGAGCAGAACTGAAGGAGATAGAGACAAAAAAAAAATGCCCTTCAAAAAATCAATGAATCCAAGAGCTGGTTTTTTGAAAAGATCAATAAAATTGATAGACTGCTAGAAAGACTAATAAGAAAAGAGAGAAGAATCAAATAGATGCAATAAAAAATGATAAAGGGGATATCATCACCGATGCCACAGAAATACAAACTACTGTCAGAGAATACTATAAACACCTCTATGCAAATAAACTAGAAAATCTAGAAGAAATGGGTAAATTCCTGGACACATGCAGTCTCCCAAGACTAAACCAGGAAGAAGTTGAATCCCTGAATAGACCAATAACAAGCTTTGAAATTGAGGCAATAATTAATAGCCTACCAACCAAAAAAAGTCCAGGACAAGATGGATTCACAGCCGAATTCTACTAGAGGTGCAAAGAGGAGCTGGTACCATTCCTTCTGAAACTATTGCAATCAATGGAAAAAGAAGGAATGCTCCCTAACTCATTTTATGAGGTCAGCATCATCCTGAAACCAAAGCCTGGCAGAGACACAACAAAAAAAAGAAAATTTCAGGCCAATATCCCTGATGAACACTGACATGAAAATCCTCAGTAAAATACTGGCAAACTGAATCCAGCAGCACATCAAAAAGCTTATCCACCATGATCAAGTTGGCTTCATCCCTGGGATGCAAGGCTAGTTCAAATATGCAAATCAATAAAAGTAATCCATTATATAAACAGAACCAAAGACATGATTATCTCAGTAGATGCAGAAAAGGCCTTTGATAAAATTCAACAGCCCTGTTGAATTGCTAAAACTCTCAATAAACTAGATATTGTTGGGACATATCTCAAAATAATAAGAGCTATTTATGACAAACCCACAGCCAATATCATACTGAATAGGCAAAAACTGGAAGCATTCCCTTTGAAAACTGGCACAAGACAGGGATGCCCTCTCTCACCACTCCTATTCAACATAGTGTTGGAAGTTCTGGCCAGGGCAATTAGGCAGGAGAAAGAAATAAAGGTTATTCAGTTAGGAAAAGAGGAAGTCAAATTGTCCCTGTTTGCAGATGACATGATTGTATATTTAGAAAACCCCATCGTCTCAGGCCCAAGTCTCCTTAAGCTGATAAGCAACTTCAGCAAATTCTCAGGATACAAAATCAATGTGCAAAAATCATAAGCATTCCTATATACCAACAACAGAGAGCCAAATCATGAGTGAACTCCCATCAAATTGCTTCAAAGAGAATAAAATACCTAGGAATCCAACTGTCAAGGGATGTGAAGGACCTCTTCAAGGAGACCTACAAACCACTGCTCAATGAATTAAAAGAGGACAAAAACAAATGGAAGAACATTCCAAGCTCATGGATAGGAAGAATCAATATCGTGAAAATGGCCATACTGCCCAAGGTAATTTATAGAATCAATGCCGTCCCCGTCAAGCTACCAATGACTTTCTTCACAGAATTGGAAAAAAATTAAAGTTCATATGGAACCAAAAAAGAGCCCGCATTGCCAAGACAATCCTAAGCCAAAAGAACAAAGCTGGAGGCATCACGCTACCTGACTTCAAACTATACTACAAGGCTACAGTAACCAAAACAGCATGGTACTGGCTCCAAAACAGAGATATAGACCAATGGAACAGAACAGAGCCCTCAGAAATAATACCACACATCTACAGCCATCTGATCTTTGACAAACCTGACAAACACAAGAAATGGGGAAAGGATTCCCTATTTAATAAATGGTGCTGGGAAAACTGGCTAGCCATATGTAGAAAGCTGAAACTGGATCCCTTCCTTACACCTTATACAAAAATTAATTCAAGATGGATTAAAGACTTAAAGGTTAGACCTAAAACCATAAAATCCCTAGAAGAAAACCTAGGCAATACCATTCAGGACGTAGGCATAGGCAAGGACTTCATGACTAAAACACCAAAAGCAATGGCAACAAAAGCCAAAATTGACAAATGGGATCCAATTAAACTAAAGAGCTTCTGCACAGCAAAAGAAACTACCATCAGAATGAACAGGCAACCTACAGAATGGGAGAAATTTTTTATAATCTACCCATCTGACAAAGGGCTAATATTCAGAATCTACAAAGGACTTAAACAGATTTACAAAAAAAAAAATCCAACAACCCCATCAAAAAGTGGGCAAAGGATATGAACAGACACTTCTCAAAAGAAGACATGTATGCAGCCAACAGACACATGAAAAAATGCTCATCATCACTGTTCATTAGATAAATGCAAATCAAAACCACAATGAGATACTATCTCACACCAGTTAGAATGGCAATCATTAAAAAGTCAGGAAACAACAGGTGCTGGAGGGGATGTGGAGAAATAGGAGCACTTTTACACTGTTGGTGGGACTGTGAACTAGTTCAACCATTGTGGAAGACAGTGTGGCAATTCCTCAAGGATCTAGAACTAGAAATACCATTTGACCAGCCATCCCATTACTGGGTATATGTCCAAAGGATTATAAGTCATGCTGCTGTAAAGACACATGCACATGTATGTTTATTGCGACACTATTCACAATAGCAAAGACTCGGAACCAACCCAAATGTCCATCAATGAGAGACTGGATTAAGAAAACGTGGCACATATACACCATAGAATACTATGCAGCCATAAAAAAGGATGAGTTTATGTCCTTTGTAGGGACATGGATGAAGCTGGAAACCATCATTCTGAGCAAACTGTCGCAAGGACAGAAAACCAAACACCACATGTTCTCACTCATAGGTGGGAATTGAACAATGAGAACACTTGGACACAGGAAAGGGAACATCACACACCGGGGTCTGTCATGGAGTGGGGGGAGGGGGGAGGCATGGCATTAGGAGATATACCTAATGTAAATGATGAGTGAATGGGTGCAGCTCACCAACATGGCACATGTATACATATGTAACAAACCTGCACATTGTGTACATGTACCCTAGAACTTAAAGTATAATAATAAAAAAATTAAAAAAAATTTATAGAGAAGACAAAATGTTTAAGAGAATAAAAAAGGTAGTCAAAGAGGCTTAATATTTTGTATAATGTCAAATGAGAAGTGTTTAAGGAGACGATATATGAGCAGATACCTAAATGATGAGGACTAAGCCATGAGAAAGCCCAAGGGAAAAAACTCCACATGAAAAGGCACAAGGATAATGACTCTCAAATATGGGGAAGGTTGATGTGTTTAACAACTCTCCTGAGGCTAGGAGTCTTGATGCAATTAGGGTTCCTTAGATTACACACACTTAATACTGGGAAGATAGAAATGGTCTGGAGACCATGCTTCTTGTCCTCGGCCGGACAAGATTATAGAACCTTAGGTGTTCAGCAGCAGTGGGATTGGCTGTACTTACCATCCTAGAGAACCAGCAGCTTTTTGAAGGGAAGAGGCCCTTTTAAGGGAGACATGATGACTGTAGTAATAGCTTTCTGACCTCCATATGTCAGGTACAGCAGAAATGTTCATAAATTTAAGAGATATAACATCTTTCTGGAGCTCTCCAATGATTTCATGAGCATCTAATTTCTTCTGTTAAAGCTCTTCCTGCTTGAATTGATCAAATCATTATTCGCACTAGTCTTTGAACTGAAGTTAATTATTTTAATCTATTTCAGCTCAAGTAGTGAGTAGAAAGAACTAAGAACTGACTCAGATATGGTAACTTATGATGAAGTGATCTTTTAATAGTATTGAACATGATAAGTCCTTACAGAAAACCAACTTTCACTATCTTACTATGTATTCTAAGGTTAAGACAAAGTTCTCTTGTGGTAATTCACTTTACACCCAGATTTCCTTAATGAAATCTTTGGATCACTTCAGTTTTGTTCAGAATTTTAGAAATGATGATTTAAAATTATCAGTAGAGAAAAACATAAACCAGAAAAAAGGCTTGTATTTCATACACACTATTTCTTCAAATAAAAGTAACATATTTTATTAGAAAATTCAAACTGCCAGGCCAGGCACGGTGGCTCACGCCTGTAATCCCAGCAGTTTGGGAGGCCGAGGTGGGCGGATCACCTGAGGTCAGGAGTTTGAGATCAGCCTGATCAAAATGGAGAAACCCTGTCTCTACTAAAAAAAAAAATACAAAAAAGATTAGACGGGCGTGGTGGTGCACGCCGGTAATCCCAGCTACAAGGGAGGCTGAGGCAGGAGAATTGCTTGAACCCGGGAGGTGGAGGTTGCGGTGAGTCAACATCATGCCATTGCACTCTAGCCTGGGCAGCAAGAGTGAAACCCCATCACTGAATTAAAAAAAAAAAATTCAAACTGCCAAATATAAAATGAAAAATGAGACTCTTCCTTATCTCTGACCATGTTCTTCTGTCCAAAAATAAGTTCTATTAGCTGTTTTGTTTACGCACTCTTACAAAAACTGAGATCATACTATATACAGTATTTTGCAACCTGCTTCAATCGCTTTGCATCTCTGAGAATAGTTCGTGTCAATACACACAGATCTAGCTCATTATTTTTAAATGAATACCTAGACATTCATAGTTTATTTACTTGATGAAGCCTCTATTGATTGGCATTTAATCAGTTTCCAATTGTTTGCTTAGGCAAACAAAGTTGCCATATATTTCTATATTTATTTTTGGAAACGTAAGATAATTGCTAGCCAAAAGCAACCAACCAGCCAAATAGCACCAAGTATAAAAGTACAAAGCTGAAAGATAAAGATCCATCTTCTCCAAAATGAAAGCACCAAATTTGACTATCATAAACATTAAATCAGATTGTCTATTTCTAGACATTCTTATAGGAGCTGACTATTATGCAATTTTTTAATCTTAATTTTTTGGTCGGGTGTGGTGGCTCATGCCTGTTATCGCAGCACTTTGGGAGGCCAAGGCCAGTGGATCTCTTGAGGCCAGAAGTTTGAGACCAGCCTGACCAACATGGTGAAACCGCGTGTCTACTAAAAATACAAAAATTAGCTGGATGGCCCACACCTGTGACCCCAGCTACTCGAGAGGCCGAGGCATGAGAATGCTTTGAACCCAGAAGGTGGGGATTGTAGTGAGCCGAGATCATGCCACTGCACTCCAACCTAAGTGGCACAGCAAGACCCTGCCTCAAAAATAACAATAATAATATAATAAAAAATAAATAACTCAATTTTTAAAAAAAGATGAGTCTATTAGGAATAAATCTGCATATTTTAGATTTTGTTTGCTCATTTGGGTTTCTTAACGTTAATTTATTCATATTCAGTGACAACGGTTTATTTTACATTACTTGCTTTTTCTTATAGTTTTACATGCTCTTTGTGAATTAAGATTCTGAACCATTTTCTTTTCATACATGTTGCAATCATTTTCCTCTTTTTTTATGGTATGTTCTGATGTTGAGTTACTTAGGCATTTATGCTTCCTCTCTTTTTATTGTTTTCTTGAGGGGGAAAGTGTGCAATAAAGTACACAGTAAAGTATACACACGCAAACACACACACACACACAAACTTAAGTGCAGGGTTTGGTAAATTTTAACACTTGTATACATCTATATAACCACTATCCAGGTTGCCATATATAATATTTCTAACACTCCAAAATGTTTCATCTTGTTTTCCCTCCCACTGCCATCACAAGTCAGTAATTACCCAAAGGTAACTACTCTATGACTTCCATAGCCATAGACTTTTGGCTTATTTTGAATTTCACATAAATGGAATAGTAAGTATATGCTCTTCTCTGTCTGAATTCTTTCACCCAAATGTGGTTGTGAGATTTTTTTTCATGTTCAGTGTTTCAATCTAATCTTTTTTTACATTTTATGTACTATTCCATCACGAATATAGTAAAATTTGCTTGCCTATTCTACTCTTGATGGTTATCGGTGTTGTGCCCAGTTTTGTATTATTGCAAGAACTGCTTTAAACATTCTTGCACATGCTTTTTGATGGACATAAGCACTCAATTCTCTTAAGTACAAATCCAAGAATGAAATTGTTGTTCCATAGGATATACATTTTTAAACTCTAGGTAATGCCTATCAGTTTTTCAAAGTTGTCCATCAACTTACAATTCTGTCAACAATCTAACAGCATTCTACTTGACCCACATCCTCACCAATATTTAATCTTGTCAGTCTCTGAGTGAGTGGATATTGTAACCATTTGGGTGGATGTGTACTGGTGTCTCGCTTTGGTCTTAATTTGTATTTCTCTGATAACTAATGCTATTGAAACCTTTGTATTGGCATTGTCTTTTGGCATGTATCAACTCAAACATTTTGAGTCATTTTTGTATCGAATTTTAATTTTTAGTTTTTTAAATAAAATATTGTTATAATTCATTTGTCACACTTATATGTTGCAAATATCTTATGACTTTTTTCTCTCAATATTTCCCTTTGATAAAATAATTTAATGCACAATTTATCAATCTTTTTTATTATGATACTGAGTTTTGTGTCCAAAGCATTTTTCCCTATATGAAGATTACAAAGATAGTTTTTACATTTTCTATTAGAAAATTACTTTAGGTTTAATATTTAGGTCTATAAAACATTTTGAATTAATATTTGTATATGGTAAAAATGGGGTTAAGGTGTTTTGTTTTGGTTTGTTAGTTTTTCCATATGGATATTTATTGACCAAGCACATTTATTGAAAAGACCATGTGAATTATAGTGAGCTTTTACCACACATCAAGTGCTTATGCATATGTGTATCTCTGGATTCTAGTGATTCTGAAAGTGGTGAAAAATACTATAAAGTTATTTGTCTTTTCACTGTGTGGGTATTTATACTGATTATACAATAGCAATTGTGGGTAAAATTGATGGGGACATAGTACGAATCAAGGCAGTGAAATTAGACAATATAGTAGTCATTAGTCATTATTTATTTGTTGCTATGCACATGAGGGAAAAAATGGCAATTTCACTTTAGAATACCTTGATGAAGCAGTGAAAATGATTTAAGTTTATTGAATTTTGATCTTGATTACACATCTTAGTCTGTGTGAAACAATGTGAAGTATGCATAAAACACTTCTGCTGCATACTAAAGTGTACTGATTATCTCAAGAAAAAGCATTTGTCCTATTATTTGAGTTGAAAACTAACATTTGCTTTTCTTCATAAAAATTCACTTACTTGAAAGAATGACTGAGAAACAAACCATAACTATTTGGCAGATATTTTCTCAAAACTGAAAGAAATTCCTTTTGCTTCAAAAAAAAAAAAAAGCGGTTGAAGAAAAACAGCTGCCCACGTTAAAAATAAAAACTTTAAGCAAAATATTAAAATTTTAAAAACTGTGTTTACCACTATGAGATTGACAGCTTCCTGATATTTAAAGAGTTTTCCAATGAGATTGGTGGTGATTTTTAATGAATGTGATCTTTTAGATAGCATATAATGAAATATGTCAATATTTGGAATATCTGCATAGCAATAAACTTTTTTTTCCCCGAATGAAGAAGGCATGATTACAAGACCATGCATGGGTAAACGTTTCAGTCAAAGTATAAGATAGTCCCATGGATTTCAGTGTAACAACAGATAATGGGAGGTTCAGATTTTACTTTGCAACAAGCCTTTATATAACTACTATTTGTTCAGTGTTTATGAGTAATTGAAGAATATGTACAAATATCTAAAAGTGCTATTTAACTACTACTCTCTTTTCCAACTAGATATCTGTTTAAGGCTGGTTTTCTCCAGCCTTTGGTTCTTCAACCTAAACAACATATCACATGGATCGAATGCTAAGCACAAATAAGAATCCTTATGCTTCAAAAATGCAATCTATGTTTTATTTGCCCAGTGGGGCTGCTGCTCTCCATTTAGGCTCTAATTGCCATCACCATTTTGGAAAGTGCTATCATGAAGATCTAAGGCAAATATGAAACTTGCCTATGTAATTACCTTCTCTCCAACATTATAGCCCTGCCTTGGTTGCTATTCAAGACCGGCAATGCAGTTTCTAATTTTCTCCAGCTCTTTTCATTGTCTATGCCAATAGGGTAAATTTGATACCAGTTACAACATCAAGATAGGAATGGAATGTTACCTGCCATTTGTTTTTAAAATTAGTTTTAAAATAAGGTTTGTCAAAAGAGACATTCATTAGATTATATAGTCTATTAATTTATTATTTTCTCTGTAAGATATGTATTTTATGCTTCTTCAGAAAAACCTCTGCTCTCTGATAATGAAATAAAACTCGTCATAAAACTCACGTTTTCCTCTTTCTCTCCTTCTCTCCTTGCCATCTCTGTCTTAATTTAACATTTTTTAAGTAATGGCCCAAACTGTGTAAAATTGGTGTTCTTTAAATATTTAGTAAAATTCTTTAGTAAAATCTTGGCCATAGTGCTTCATTTTTCTGGAGCTTTTAAATTACAAATTCAATTTTTAATGCTTACAGATCTATTCAGATTATCTAAACTTGGACGAATTTTGGTATTTTGTGGTTTGGGAGAATTAGGCCATTTTTTCAAAGTTTCTGAAATTATAGGTATCAAGTCATTCATATTATTTATTATCCTCCTGTTTTTTGAGGCATCTGTAGTGATATCCCCTATTTAATTTCTGATATTAGTGATGTGTGTCTCTTAGCCTTTTTGTTTGTCAGTCTTGCTAGTGGTTTGCCTATTTCCTGAATCTTTTCAAACTGCCAATCTTGCTTCATTGTTTTTATCTATTGTTTTCTATTTTTAGTTTAATTGGCTCATTGATTTTTGCTTTTGTTGTTATTATTTTTTTCTTATTGCTTAATTTTGCCT
The DNA here is from genome assembly GCF_000001405.40 of Homo sapiens. Taxonomy (NCBI): domain Eukaryota; kingdom Metazoa; phylum Chordata; class Mammalia; order Primates; family Hominidae; genus Homo; species Homo sapiens. The sequence goes on along the minus strand of NC_000002.12, from coordinate 194,844,778 downwards.
TTCTATTTTATCTTGCTCTCCTATTTTTAGTTTCTTGGAGTAGGAACTTGCTGTATTGAGAGGTTTCCTTGTTTTAACGTAAACAGATAGTGCTATAACTTGCTTTCTCAGCTCTGCTTTAAGTGCATCCCACAAATTTGGATAAGTCGTGTTTTTATTTTCATTCAGTTCTATGTTTATCTTCATTTTCTTTTGATAAAAATTTCTTTTACACATGGATTATTTATAAGCATGTAGTTTAAATTATTTAGCCTGGCGCGATGGCTCATGCCTGTAATCCCAGCACTTTGGGAAGCTGAGATGGGAGGATCACGTGAGGTCAGGAGTTCGAGATCAGCCTGGCCAACATAGTGCAACCCTGTCTCTACTAAAAATACAAAAATTAACTGAGCATGGTGGCCCGTGCCTGTAATCCTAGCTACTCAGGATGCTGAGGCGGGAAAATTGCTCAAACCCAGGAGGTGGAGGTTGCAGTGAGCCGAGATCATGCCACTGCACTCCAGCCTGGGCGACAGACAGAAACTCTGTCTCAAAAAAAGAAATAAATAAAATAAAATAAATAAATAAGTAAATAAATAAATAAATTCTATATATTTAGAGATTTTCTTATTGACTTTCAGTTCATGATTTCTCATTGGATTCTACTTTGGTCAGAGAACACACTCTTTGTGGTTTTATTCTTTAGATTGTTGAAGTTGGTTTTATGATCCAGGCTCCTGTCGTTTTTGGTGAATATTTCATGGGCACTTAAAAAAATATTCCACTTTGTTGGACCAATGTTCTATATATGTCAATTAGATCCTGTTGTTGGTGTGTTCAGATCTATATCTTTGCTTATTTTCTGTCTGTTAGTTCTGTTAGTTACTGAGGGAAGTAAGGGATTGAATTTCTCCACCATTTTGGGTTTTCCACTTCTCTTTCAGCTCTGTCAGTTTTTACTTCATATATTTTGAGGCTCCATTGTTAGGTATGGACACATTTGGGATTATTATAAATTCCTGTTGGATTGATTCTTATATCAATATATAATGTAATTCTTTGTCTCTAGCAATTTATTTTTGTTCTGAAATCTACTTTACCACCAGATGTTAATATAGTCACTCCTATGTTACTTTAATATTTGTGCACTATATATTTTCAAGTAGAAAGCTTTTAACTTTCTACTTGTCTAAGTCATTGAATTTGAAGTGAGTTTTTTTCCTTAAAAAAAATTCTTTGCTTTTGACAGATTTCTTTAGTCATTCTTAAGGGTAGGTTTGCCAGCAACAATTTTTTTTTAAGTTTTCCATCATCTGAGAATGTCTTCCTTTCTCCTTAACAGCTAAAGATTTATTTTGCTGAATATGGAATTTGCAGTTCACTGTACTTTTCTTTCAGCATTTCAAAAATGTTTTGTCATTTTCCTTTTGCCTCTGTGCCTTCAGATAAGAAATCAGCTGCCATTCAAATTGGCATTTCCCATAGGTAAGGTGTCATTTGAAGCAGTATATTTCCCTGATCCCTTTGCAGGACTCGCAATAGGGGTGCCTCATTTACCCAGCCCGCAGCTTTCAATTTTTTTGCAGGAGAGAGTGTGCTAGTGAACAAGGCACGAACTGAACTGGAGTGCATGAACTCTGGAACCAGCCAGTTGCTTTGGTGCTGGCAGGAGTGAACTCCATTCACTCTGACCCGCTGTGCTCCACCCCTTAGGAGAGGGTGCGCACAGTTGAGCAGGTGCAGGAGCCAGGGTGAGCGCTTTTGGGCCCTGGCAGGAGTGAAATTCTTGCAGGCCCCACAGCAGCATGCGGGGGTGTGCCCACAACCCCTGAAGCCCCGGAGGGAGTGTTATAGTGCTTTTTCAGCTCTGCCATCCACAGATGGCTTAAGTGTTAACAGCTCAGTGAGCCCTTTGCCTTTTCATGTGAGGCAGCTGCCTTACGCCTGTGAGTGAAAAGGGCAAGTGTGATAGCCTTTCGTATCTGCACTCAAGTGACACGCGAGCTCCTGTCCAGCATCCAAGAGACATGAAGTCCCATGAATAAATTGAAGGATGGTAAATGCGGGGGATTTTATTGCCAATAAAATTGGCTGTCAGCGGGAAGGGGAGCTGAAAAGGAGATGGGGCAGGAAGGTAATCTTCCCCTGAAATCCGGCCATCTCCAGCCAGATTCTTTGAAGTTATACCATCAAGCTGTACCTCTGAAGTCAAGTCGCTTCTCTCTGAAATCCAGCCATAGTCTCCGACGTCCAGCTGCTCCTCCTCTCTCTGCCAACTGAGCCTGGGGTCTTTATAAGCACAAGATGGGGGGCAAGGCAAGCCATGGGTGATTTTGGAAAAGGCAATATTCAAGCAGGAAAACAGGGGTATGTGTTCTCACTTTAGGCTGTGGTCTCAGGCTTTGAGCTTGAGGATGGGTCCCTGGCAAGGGACCCACCTTTTACTGCCTAGAATTCCTGTGCATCCTATCCCCATCAGTTTCTCTCTTGCTGCTCTCAGGACTTTGTCTTCAGCTTTCTGAATTTCAATTTTAGAAGTGTCTTTGCTTGGATGTCTTTGGTTTCTTCATGTTTAAAATTTATTGAGGTTCTTGAATCTGTAGGTTTATATCTTTCACTACATTTGGAAAGTCTTTTAGCCATTATCTTTACAATACCCCTTCATCACCACTTCTTAGTCTGCACCTTGAAACTCCACTGATATAAACGTTGGGCCTTTCATTGTTTCTTAGGGGTTTCTGAGGCTCTATTCATTTCTTTTACAGTCAGTTTTCTTTCATTATTTAGATTAATTCTACTGATCTGTCCTCAAGTTTATTGTTTCTAATATCTTTTATAGAACCGCTGTTACTAAAACCATCAGCTAGATTTATTTTTATTTTGTTATTGTCTTTATGGTCATATAACTAAAATCTGGTTCTTTTTTAATAATGTGTATTTCTTTGCTGAGATTTTTCATTGTCTCATTTGTTGAAAGAGAACTTGTAATTGATATTGAAGCATTTTTATGCAAGCTGTCTTAAAACCCTTATTGGATAATTAAAATAGCTGATTCATCTCAGTGTTGTCGTCAGTTGATTCTATTTTCCCATCTAAGTTGTTATTTTCCTGATTCTTTTATGATAAGTACATTTTATATATATATATATCATATGTATATATATGATAGAACACTATTCAACCTTAAAAAGGGGAGAAATCTTGTCATTTGCATCAATATGATGAACCTAGAGGATGTTATGCTAAGTGAGATAAGCTAGGCACAGAAAGACAAACACCACATGATATCATTTATATGTGGAAATTAAAAATATTGACCTCATAGAAGTAGAGAGTAGAATGATGGTTACCAGAGGCTAAAGTGAGGGAGGGATAGGGAAAAAGGAAGTGTTAATCAAAGTGTACAAAGTTTTAGTTGGAGTAATATAGTTTAGTAATTTATTGAAGAGAAAGGTGACTATAATAAGTAAAAATCCATTATATATTTTGAAAAATAATCTGTATCCTGGATATTTTATATTTTGTGTTAGAAGACCCTGGGTTCCCTTTTAATCTTTTGACAGGCAATCCCCTATTTAGGTTTTGCATGCAAGTCCTGGTTTACATTTGCGGGCTGTGGTTCCAATGAGAATTTAATTTTCAAGCCTTTGCTTTGTTATATTGGTCTACTTGGTTTATCTGGTGCAACCAGGGATTCACTCACTCCTGCTGGTGCTGCCTAAGGAGAAAAAAGATGTTTTCCCACGCCCAGCAGCCCTAGTGTGTCTCAATGAAGGACTGGAGCTGTAGGCCTACTTGGCTAAGGAGACTTCCTTGTGACATGGTCTTTCATTCATTGTCCTTGCTGTTCAGCCACTCTGATATCTCTTGGTGGGGGAGGAAAGTCTTAGGTAAGATAATTCTTGTTCTAGACTCTAATCATTAGCAGAGTTCTGGAGTGATGTCTCATTTCTAGTAGTAGTAAGCTCACATGGTGCTTTCAGGAGGGTTCTTGTTTGATGTGGGGAAGGAAAAAGCCTAGGGAGGCGCCTTCTGTGGCTAGATTGGAGTCAGGAAATGCTGAGTCTGCATCACTTTCTTTATGTTGGTAGCTGATTTGGTTGGAGAGAATGGGATACAGGTGTAAGTCAACGTGTGCTTGCTTGTTTCCACTGTACTGGGTTCCCAAACTAGTTCTCCTTTCTTATTTCACTTTTTTTTTTTTTTTTTTTTTGAGACAGAGTCTCACTCTGCTGCCCAGGCTAGAGTGCAGTGGTGCAATCTCGGCTCACTGCAACCTCCACCTCCTGGTTCAAGTGATTCTCCTGCCTCAGCCTCCCAAGTAGCTGGAACTACAGGCATGTGCTACCATGCCCAGCTAATTTTTGTATTTTTAATAGAGACGGGGTCTCACTATGTTGGTCAGGCTGGTCTCAAACTCCTGATCTTGTGATCCGATTTCTCCTTTAGTTGCCTCTTACATTATTTCCAGCTTATAATGTAAGTACAACTTAGCCTGAGGAATTGGGAGAAATAAATGTATTCCATCTCTTCTGGACCAGAGTCCTAAAAAAGTCATTTTTTGGCAACTCCAATTCTATGATTTCATTTTCTTATCCAAGTTTATACCACAGACTGCACAATATACATTTATTTCCTTCTCTGTCTTGTAATAAACTGCTAATTTATTTATTATTATGACTACTGATTTATTATAATTCAAGAGTGGCCTAATTTAATGAAACTCAATAATTATTTTAAAGTTTAAAATACTTTAATTAGGATGGGGTTACTGACACCACAAAGTAATTCCTTTATACTTAAAGTTTCATTGAAATTACAATGATGCTACTAGAAGAATTATAAATTCTATTTATGTATAACTTTTCAGGAGCACTACTATAATATATAGTTTTATATGTCTATATCACAGATACATCAACACAATCTGTACACAAATAGATGAAACATATTATTTTTGTTATGAAGAAATTGTTCTATGAAAAAATCTAAAACATATTTCTATGGTAAGGATGCTAATATTGGAAAGCCAAAGTGTAATTTCTCCCAAATGCTTTCATGTCCATCTGTGAAGCTACCAAGCCTTCTAATATTATTTCAGCCAATCTTTAATGTTAACATTCAATATTTGACTTAGAAATTCAATTTTCGTAAATTTTTCTCACCAATGCTGAGTGAGATATATATTTGAATAACAGAATAACACTGAGCTCATTAAACATTATGTGCTAGATGGTATTTACAGTTTTTTTGACTTTTAGACTAGAAGTAAAATAGTATTCCATCTTTTTTAATTTTACGAATTTTGAGCATTTCTTTTATAAGTTACAGATTTCCATTTCCAACCTGAAAACCATAGATATAAAACAAATAAAGAATATCTTCTATCTTGGAGCATAAGGTGCCTATTCCTCTCTAAAGTCTTCTATTACTCAGGGTGCTGTCTGCTAATACCCAGGGTCTCTATTAGAAAGATCTACAGTATTGTTTTCTCTCCTTCTCAGTCTCTTTTAATTTTTTTTTTCTCAATTGCTTCTCCCCTCCAACATCTGTGACAACTCTTCTAAAGATTGGCCAGTACCAAAGACAGGAAGAACTGATAACTTCAGTTGTTTCTATTCTCCCTGCTGGATTCTCTGAGAGAAGATAATACAAAGCCCTTGGCTACCTTCCTGGACAGGAACAAATACAAGATTTTTCAAATTGTTACACCAATACATTATTTTACCACAGTGAATAAAATACAAGATAAAATCAAATGCTTAAATCAGACACTACATCTTATAAAACAGGGGAGTATGGGTAAGGAGTGTGACTTGACATGCAGTAGGATCAGATTAGGTGCAGCAGAGAGATGCATTTTGAAATTACCCATATGATATAAGGCCAATGATAGCAAAATAGCATGGCCATGATGTTAAAAACCAATGATTTCATATGAAATGAATAAAATGAGTTAAAGTCTATCTGATTTTTTGTTTTCTAATTATGGGCTCGACATAAAATATAGGTTGGAATTCACAACTTGTGAAGTCATGTCAATGAGGACTGACAAAGTTAAGTAATGACAAATTATGATGGAATAATTGTATTGACAAATATAAAAGTGAAATGAAATGAGATGGCCTTTACGCCTGTTATATTAGTGAATATGTCACTGTAAACTGTATGATATTATAAGTACCCTGATTGGATGCTTGCCTGCTTCTTACAAATGCCATTAGTAACCTCTTTTAAAAAGAATATTTGATAGCAAACAAGTGACAAAGATCAAAGATAATGAAAAAAAAAAGACCCATCTGACTTAGGAAATAGCAATAACTACTGTTGTAAAAGCTGTAGTCATGGACAATCTTTAATGGTTTAGATGTCAACACAAGAATAAACTTGATTTGTGTTACATGATATTATTTTGAATAAGAAACTGTAAAAGTTATATTATCTAAGTGAGAAAGTGTATTCTTTTCTTCACAACATATCATGACAAAAATATTGTTGTTACATACAAGCTGAGCTGAGATCCCTGCCTGTAAGACTGTAACATTTAACACATTTTATGGTCTGTTTACACAAAGTAAGCTATAAAGTATTTTCTGAGGGAGAAAGATACCAAAACCCAACTCAACAAACAAAAAGCAAAACAAAACCCCCCGGAAAAAATCTTTTTCCATCATGCTAAGTGCTATATTAAATGTGATGCTAAGTCTTCCTTTTCATTTTGTCATTTTCTAGGGATGACTCACATCTTTATTTATGAGGTATTTATCAATTATCTGCTCTGTAATTATCATTGCTTCATACATATTTTGTCCACCAAAATTTGCTCAGTATGGATTCATTTTAATTATACATCTTATATAATCATATTGCATATTAGGAGTGTGTATTAAGACTGTCTATCTAGAGGGGTTACCAGTGCGGGCTTTGGAGTCTCACTGCCTGGCTATTTGCTACTGTGAAACCTTGAATAATAGATTTTATCTCTGCAACTCTGTTTCTTCAACTCTAAAATGGTGATAGTAATAATATATAATTCATATAATTAATTATATATATTAAAGGAAATATTTTTTACTATTATGACTTTTAACTGACATAATAAATTATACATACTTATGGGGTACAGTATAGTATTTTGATACATGTATGCAATGTATAAAGATCAAATCAGGATAATCTGCATATTCATTGCCTCTAACTTTGATAATAACTTTGTGTTGGAAAAATCTACTCTTCTTGAGATTTGAAAATATATAATAAGTTATTGTTAACTATAGTCATCTTGTAGTCTTATAGAACACTAGGACTTATCCCTTCTATCTTTCTGTACTTTTGTATCTGTTAATCAACCTCTGGCTATCCCTCCCACCCTTTCCCTTTCCTTGCCTCCAGTTACCACTACTCTACTCTCTCCTTCTATGAGACTGACCTTTTTAGCTTCCACATATGAATGAGATCATGTGGTGTTTGTCTTTCTCTGCCTGGTTTACTTCACTTAACATGATAAAAGAAAATGATTTATTTCTAATGCTTAACGCAGAATCTGGAAAATTAGTATATGTAGTGTGAATATGGTGAGAAGGGGACAATTGTATAATACAACTTGAAGCCATGGTAGAAAATTATTGTCATGTCCTGATCCTTCAAGTATCTTTAACTTTAGTAAAATGCATCATCACGGGTGACCAATTGAACTCTTATTAGTATGAGCTTCTTAGATACTTTTAAGCTTCAAAATTAGCTAAAACTAATCTATATCCTTGATGAACATTGACGGAAAAATCCTCAAAAAAAATACTGGCAAACCGAATCCAGCAGCACATCTAAAAGCTTATCCACCATTATCAAGTGGGCTTCATCCCTGGGATGCAAGGCTGGTTCAATATATGCAAACCAACAAATGTAATCCAGCATATAAACAGAACCAAAGACAAAAACCACATGATTATCTCAATAGATGGAGAAAAGGCCTTTGACAAAATTCAACAACTCTTCATGCTAAAAACTCTCAATAAATTAGGTATAGATGGGACATATCTCAAAATAATAAGAGCTATCTATGACAAACCCACAGCCACAGCCAATATCATACTGAACGGGCAAAAACTAGAAGCATTCCCTTTGAAAACTGGCACAAGACAAGGATGCCCTCTCTCACCACTCCTATTCAACATAGTGTTGGAAGTTCTGGCCAGGGCAATTAGGCAGGAGAAGTAAATAAAGGGTATTCAATTAGGAAAAGAGGAAGTCAAATTGTCCCTGTTTGCAGATGACATGATTGTATATCTAGAAAACCCCATTGTCTCAGCCCAAAATCTCCTTAAGCTGATAAGCAACTTTAGAAAAGTCTCAGGATACAAAATCAATGTACAAAAATCACAAGCATTCTTATACACCAATAACAGACAAACAGAGAGCCAAATCATGAGTGAACTCCCATTCACAATTGCTTCAAAGAGAATAAAATACCTAGGAATCCAACTTACAAGGGACGTGAAGGACCTCTTCAAGGAGCACTACAAACCACTGCTCAATGAAATAAAAGAGGATACAAACAAATGGAAGAACATTCCATGTTCATGGGTGGGAAGAATCAATATCATGAAAATGGCCATACTTCCCAAGGTAATTTATAGATTCAATGCCATCCCCATCAAGCTACCAATGACTTTCTTCACAGCATTGGAAAAAACTACTTTAAAGTTCATATGGAACCAAAAAATAGCCCGCATCACCAAGTCAATCCTAAGCCAAAAGAACAAAGCTGGAGGCATCACGCTACCTGACTTCAAACTATACTACAAGGCTACAGTAACCAAAACAGCATGGTACTTGTACCAAAACAGAGATATAGATCAATGGAACAGAACAGAGCCCTCAGAAATAATGGCGCATATCTACAACTATCTGATCTTTGACAAACCTGAGAAAAACAAGCAATGGGGAAAGGATTCCCTGTTTAATAAATGGTGCTGGGAAAACTGGCTAGCCATATGTAGAAAGCTGAAACTGGATCCCTTCCTTACACCTTATACAAAAATCAATTCAAGATGGATTAAAGATTTAAACGTTAGACCTAAAACCATAAATACCCTAGAAGAAAACCTAGGCAATACCATTCAGGACATAGGCATGGGCAAGGACTTCATGTCTAAAACACCAAAAGCAATGGCATCAAAAGCCAAAATTGACAAATGGGATCTATTTAAACTAAAGAGCTTCTGCACAGCAAAAGAAACTACCATCAGAGTGAACAGGCAACCTACAGAATGGGAGAAAATTTTCGCAACCTACTCATCTGACAAAGGGCTAATATCAAGAATCTACAATGAACTCAAACAAATTCACAAGAAAAAAACAAACAACGCCATCAAAAAGTGGGCGAAGGATATGAACAGACACTTCTCAAAAGAAGACATTTATGCAGCCAAAAAACACATGAAAAAATGCTCACCATCACTGACCATCAGAGAAATGCAAATCAAAACCACAATGAGATACCATCTCACACCAATTAGAATGGCAATCATTAAAAAGTCAGGAAACAACAGGTGCTGGAGAGGATGTGGAGAAATAGGAACACTTCTACACTGTTGGTGGGACTGTAAACTAGTTCAACCATTGTGGAAGTCAGTGTGGCGATTCCTCAGGGATCTAGAACTAGAAATACCATTTGACCCAGCCATCCCATTACTGGGTATATACCCAAAGGACTATAAATCAGGCTGCTGTAAGGACACATGCACACGTATGTTTATTGTGGCACTATTCACAATAGCAAAGACTTGGAACCAACCCAAATGTCCAACAATGATAGACTGGATTAAGAAAATGTGGCACATATACACCATGGAATACTATGCAGTCATAAAAAATGATGAGTTCATGTGCTTTGTAGGGACATGGATGAAATTGGAAATCATCATTCTCACTAAACTATCGCAAGGACAAAAAACCAAACACTGCATGTTCTCACTCATAGGTGGGAATTGAACAATGAGAACACATGGACACAGGGAGGGGAACATCACACTCTGGGGACTGTTGTGGAGTAGGGGGAGTGGGGAGGGATAGCATTAGGAGATATACCTAATGCTAAATGACGAGTTAATGGGTGCAGCACACCAGCATGGCACATATATACATATGTAACTAACCTGCACATTGTGCACATGTACCCTAAAACTTAAAGTATAATAATAATAAAATAAAAATTAAATAAATAAATAAACAAATAAACCAATAAATGCAAAAAAAAGAACACAGGCCATAATAACTTTTATTTTTATTTTTTTATTTTTATTTTTATTTAAAAAAAGAAAAACCAATGGAATATACTAGAGAGTCAAGAAATAAATCCTCACATATATGGTCAACTAACTTTCAACAGAGAAATAAACAACAATGACGTAAAGAAAGTCTTTTCTTCCTCTTTTTTTTGAAGTACTATAGATTCATAGGAAATTGCAAAGATACTACAGAGATGTTCTGTATAAATTTAGCACAGTTTCTCCATTGGCTACATCTTACATACTTATAGTACAATATAAAAACCACAAAAGTGACATTGTTATAAAGTGTGTATGTTATTTCTATGTCCCTTTGTCCCAAGTACTTTTATGTGATCAACATTACAGATACAGCATTATTCCATTACCATGAAGATCTTTGTAGTGTCACTCCTTCATAATTACTCTGCCCCCCTCCACCATCCCTGGCAAACACTAATCTGCTCTTTATTTCTATTAATTTTGCCATTTGGAGAATGTGATATAATAGAAATTATAAAGCATATGATCTTTTGACAGTGACTTTTTTTCACTCAACATTATCACCTTGAGATCCATTCAGGTTGTTATGTGTATTGAGGGTTCATTTCTTTTTATTGCTGAGTAGTATTTCATAGCCTGGATGAACCACAGCTGTTTTTCAATCACTCATCTTTTGTAGGACATTTTGGTTGCTTCAGGTTTTTGCTATTACATATAAAGTTGCTTTAAATAAATATGTGCAAGTTTTGTAGTTTTATTTCTCTGAAATAAATATCTACATATGTGATTACTGGGTCATATCCCAAGTATATGTCTAGTTTTTTAAGAACTGCCAAACCATTTTCCAGAGTGACTGCCATCCTATATTTCACCAGCAATGTATGAGAGATTGTCTCTTCACATTCTTACCAAAATTTGGCATTGTTGCTATTTTTTATTTTAGTCTTTCTAATAAATATGTAGTGATAACATATGGTGGTATTAATTTACATTTGTGTGGTGGCTAGCAATGTTGAACGTATTTTTATGAGTTTATTTTTTACGTCTATAACTTCTTTAGTGAAATATCTCTTCATGTTTTTTACCCATTTGCTAATTTGATTGTTTTTAAGTATTTTTTAAATGCTCCAGATATGAGTTCTTTGTCACATGTAATTTGCTAATATTTTCTCCCTTTTAACAAATGAGGCTAGAACAACTAGACTCCCATATAAAAGCAAAGTACAACTTGATCTTTTTGTCATTCAGGACACAAAAGAACACTTTGAGATCAAGTGTAGACCTAAATGTAAACATAAAACTATGAAGCTTCTATAAGAAAATACTTTTCTCCCTTAGGATAAGAGAGAAAATCTTGAATAAGTACAGTAGAATCAAAAACAATAAAAAATAAATTGGGCTCCATCCAAAGCAAAAATTTCTGTTCATCAAAAGACATAGTTAAAAAAATGAATATACAAACCACAAACAGGGAGAAATTATTTGTAACACATTTATGTGACAAAGGACTTCTATCTAGAATATATTAAGAATTCCTACAAAATAGCAATTAAAAGATGGAGATGCCACTTTTTAAAAATGGGCAAAAACTTAATCAGATGCCTTATAAAAAGAACATACATAAATGGTCAAGAATAACATATAAAAGTCTCTAGGGTAATTCAAATTAAAATTACTATGGGCTATCATTTCACACTGACTGGAATAGCTAATATAAACCAGATCAAAAGCAGTAATGTTGGTGAGGATGTATAGCAACTGGCACTTATGTATGTTTCTGGTAGAAGTTTAAAATGGTTCAATCACTTTGAAAAACTATTTCATATTTTTCAAATAAAATAAAACATATGCCTATGGTATGGCCAAGTAATTCCACTCCTAGGTATTTAGCCACTGGAATTAAAAATGTATGTAAACAAAGGAATTTTCACAAGAATGTATATAGCAATAATATTTATTATAACCCCTAAAATTGTGGGTAAAGATTATTAACAGGAGAATGCAAGAACAAGTTTCTGTATATTCATACAATGAAATATTAATTAGAAATACAAAAAGAATAAATTATTGAAACAAAACATGGTTCAATATCAAATATATTAAACAAAAGAGTTAAGATACAAATGTATATGTACTTTATGATTCCATTTATATATGAAGTCCAACAAGAGAAAACTGGATCAATAGTGATAGAAACCAGAAAACTGTCATGGGTAGAAGGGCTTGCAGGAGGGCAGTCCATTGGAAAGAGACATGAAGCTTTCTGGTGTGAAGAAAATGATTTATATTTTTGTTTGCTTAGTGGATACACATATGAATGTAATTGTTGAAATTCATCTGGCTGAATATCTGGAATCTGTTAATTTTGTTGTATGTCAATTATACCTTAATGAAAAACTGTTAAGTGAGAAATAGGCAAAGAAACTAAACACACAACTGAAATAGAAGAACAGACAACTCAAAATAGAAGAAATGAAAATAGCCACTAAGCAAATGAAAATGTGTTCAACCTCACTAGCAATCAAGGTTTCTAAATTAAAGCAAGAATAATTTAATTATAATATGTTAATTTATAATATAAATATAATTAAAATAAGAGATTTTTTCTATCAGATTATTAACAATAAAGGATGAATGATTAATTTCTATTTTTAGCAAGTTTGTGTGAAAAGAAGAAACCATTTATCTGTAGTGAGAATGTCAATTGGTACAAATTCTTCAGAGAATTGTGTTCCTAAAACCTTATAATATCTCTACCATCTGAACTAACATTTCTATTTTTAAAAATATACACATCAAAAGATAGATAATTCACAGCTTCTTCATCTGTAAAAATGAGAATAATAGAACTTGCTCTACTTTATTTTAAGGTGTTTTTATATATAATAAAATAATATACACTACTTTGGATAAAACGGTTGCCTGTTACAGAGTAGAGTAAACGGGAGGGCTGTGGATGTATGTAGAAAAAATGTTGCACAGATTTAAAGGGCCATACAAAGATGAATATGATTAACTCAACCTATGCACTCGAGTCTAAAAAACAAACAAACAGAAAAACCCAGTGAAACAAAGATGTGTAAAGCAATAGATATGAAAGATCTGTGAAATATCAAGAGCTTCATATGGTACAGCCACTTTAAATACGTATTTACTATCATTGCCAATCTTATCCTTCCTCCTTCCTCTGCACTTTTTGTCCATTACCTACTGCTTCCCACTAGATTCACAGTGATCTTTCAAGATTTAAGGTAATGCTGAGGAAAATAAAGGATATACTAAGTGAATATCATGAAGATTAATACAATGCATATATTTTTAAATGACTCCAGATTGCTCAGAATTAACAGACTAGAAATTCAAGTCTTTCAACCCTAGCTGCATAGTATGATCACCTGAAGAGGTATACTTATGAACGTATTGTAAACTGTTCTCTGTTCCGTGCTAGACTAACTAAACAGAATATTATATTTGAGTGCTAGAACCTAGGCATTGATAGGGTTTAAAAGTTCCCTAGGTGATTCAAAGGTGCTTCTGTGGGGAAGCTGGGTTAGAGAAAGTTCTAGGATTATGGATTTTACTCTGCTGTAGAGGATATGAAGACTGCTTATTTGAGTTCCTCTTAGAAATACAACATGATTTGCAAATATCGTCATGGTCAGAGGTCTATTGTTACACCTTCTCCATTCTTTTGCAGGCAGGATCATAGTTTTAGGCCAGAAGTTTCCTCCTTTGACTTATTTTTATCACGGTTGGTTTGTTAATTAGATACAGAGTCTGGCTTGTTTACTATGAAATATAATTCTGTTATCAGCAAAACCACATTCTGCCCAAGGTGATTTTTCCAATGGCTGTAATCCCCCTTTCAAACCCATGAAGTAAAGAGCCTTCCAAATGAAGGAATGAGTAGCCATTTGGGCTAAAAGAGACTTTCAGTTTAGATTTCAGATATTCTAACCCACTGTAAATGTTTGATAAAAAATGAACCAGGGCTTTTAATTAATTGTGTACAGAAAGCTGACAAAATTCTATTGGGAGACATTCCTAATAATCCATGCTCATCATGTGATGGGCATTGTTTATAAATATAAATGCATTGAAAAGTTTATAACCCTGGAACAAAAGGCGATGAAAAATCAGACCATGGTTGGCAACTTCACAATTAAATTCTCAGCTAGTAAATGACTTACTTGAGAATTCTCTTTTATCTTTGTTTTCCAATATATTCCTGAAAGCACAGAAAAAAGAAAAATCTCAGCCAGTGCTTGAGTAGAAAACTCTTGGAGAGACTATGTTACACACATATAACTTTAATAACTCTTGGTTGAAGATTGCTGAATCTGCATGAAAACATCATCTCCTTTTTTTCTCTCTCCATATATTATATATGTATTGACACACACACAACATATATTCATGTGTATATTTTGTGTGTCTATATATACAAAACAAAACCCAATATAGGTTATGATAGGGATGTAGTAATCCTTCCAAATATAAAATTTAAAAGAAAAACTAAAATTGTGGACTTTGAGGAAAAACTCTTATTTCTGAAAAAGAACTTAATATTGTTTTGTGGATATGTGTACATTTTTATACTTCACAATTCATATTGAACATTTTATGGAACTAGAGATCAAACTATAATGATAAGTTAAGACACTTGCTGTAATACCTGGCTGTATGGAATTAAACTACTCATAAAAATATTTCATACTCGTATTATAAGCAGATTCATATGCTTAGCCACATAACAGCAAATAAGTGCATTAAATTTATTTAAGTCTTTAAAATTACTTCTATCTTGTTTTATGTTCCCCAAAACGATGTTAAGAAAAAAGTGCAGGCATTATTCCCTGATTTTATATCAGTGAAAACATCAGTGTCTCTCTACTGCCAGTTGGTACCTGAATGCTTTTGTCTGTCGGTACCTCTGTCTGTCTTCCACACTTGATTATTGCTTTCATGAGGGCAGGAACTAATTATCCTAGTACTCCAGCACATCATCCATCATAGTGCCTGGCAAATATTATGCAGTTTATACATTTATTTTTAGATAAACTGAATTAAACCTCATTTTATCTATAAATATTCCCAAACTTGATAAAAATCATTTTATTTCTCTGCTAAAAATCCTATTTTGATGACTCTAATCCAAAGGATTTTTTTCCAAACCAACGTAGTCACTCTAGATATAGAATGTGATTACTTGTTATATATGTAAATTGATCTGAGATACTCATATATTTTTCACCACTAGTCTCTCATGCTGTCATGACAAGTGAGATTATTAAGGCAAAAACCTGTTCAGTAAGAAAAAAACTAAACTAACCTGCATCACAGACATCTAATCCCAGCTGATATTTCCATTATGATTACATTTAGGGATGAATGCAGTCCTAATTACATATGCGCTGAAAGCTATGCTCTACCCAGGATAAATGGGTTTGCCCAAACCTAGTTACATTAATGTCTTAACAGCTGAAGAAACCTAAATAATAGTTTCATAGAGGAAGTTCACATTTCCTTGATCCTAAGAGTTCTTAGGAACAACTTTGCACAACCACAAATGCATTTTAGATATAGAATAGGACAGAAATAGAAATTGGAAAAAAAAAATCCGAAAGCATTTCAATTACTTCTAACAAATACAATTTTATTCCAGCAGAATATCATAGGTAATATATGGTAATTAATAGTATCTTATGAATCATTAATAATACATTGACTATACATTGCACAAAATGTTTTTAAAGTTTGAAGGTCATTTTGATAAGATTAATAGATATAAATTTAATCTATTGTCTACAATACTGTGCATTTTCCACATTATGCTGCGTAATTAAAAATATTTTATAGTTTTTTACATGCTTTATAAAATAATCACCCTACATGTATATAAGTAAGTAATTTTTGTTTGGAAATGTTGTCCAGATCCAACATATGTCTAATATTCAAAGTGGTGCCATTTTAAGTTTTGTTTAATTTGATGCTATAATACTGCATTTTATGGCCAATGGGAACTAAACCCCAATTTCCCATAAACAATTTTGTTCAATACTGTCTAATTTGTTTCCTTCCATCACTAGCTACAGAGAATGTGGCTCTTTTCAGCCCCACATTTATACATAAAAGATAAAAGTGTAGTTGTTAAAAGACTGGTACAAGATGGGTCAATATTTCTCATTTAGCAATAACTTTGAAGTATTTCACAACAGAACTTTAAAATCTCTTTTAAAAAGATATATCTTTGACAGGATGCCATTAAATCTTTAAAATATGATATACTGTTAAGATTTTCTAAAGAGAGACAATATTTTTTATTTTAGTTTCAGAGCTAAGGTTATTCATTTTCTCCCACATAAGATGGTTGCTTCCAAGTAGGTAACATATCTTCAGTTACAATTTGGTGTAGTATTTAAGTCAGTCGACTCTATGGTGAGACTGTGTTTGTAGCTTCATCTGTACAATTACTAGCTATATGTCCTTGGGTAATTATTATATAGCACTAGTGCAATAGCAATAGTATCAGGTCCTATCTTTCTAGCTTTTGGAATGAATAAATGAAATCAATACATGTAAAGTACTATTTCTTGCATGTGGGGAGTGTTAAATATGTTACATATTATCATTCTTCTCATTTTATTTATTTATTTATTATTTTTTGAGACAGGGTCTCACTCTGTCACCCAGGCTGGAGTGCAGTGACACAATCTTGGCTCGCTGCAGCCTTGACCTCCTGGGCTCATCTGATCCTCCCACATCAGCCTCCTGAGTGGCTGGGACTACAGGCATTTACCATCACACCCAGCTAATTTTTGTATTTTGTTATAGAGACAAGGTTTTGCCATGTTGCCCAGGCTGGTCTTGAACTCCTGAGCTCAAACAATCCACCTTCCTCTACCTCCCAAAATGCTGGGGTTACAGGCATGAGCCACCATGGTCAGCTTTTATTTTATTGAATTGAAGATGTCATTGTTTATAAGATAGATCATAATTTTATCAACCACTTAAAAAAAGATGTTGCCAATTATACAATGACAACATATTTTACAACTTGGAATTTATACTTTATACTTACTGAAGGAACTCTTCTACACCTAATAAGATGCAGATTTTTAATCATGTATAAGTGTTTTGCATCTTTTGCATACATAAAAAGGAAGAAATAAGTTAAATAAATTGGACAAGACATTTCAAAACTTCTTACCATACGGGGTTTGACTCGTGAATGTTTTGGGTTAGTATCATCAATGTCTACTTGTTTTCAGCCATATTTCTCTTGCAGCCGTCAAAGACATTACCAATGCCACTTTTCTTCAGAGTGGTCCATATCCCTGGGATTTCTTCCGTACCACTTACATTGATTGTGCAAATGTTAGTGCTGGCATTTCCTTAATTTCTCCAGGTGGTGTCAACACAACATTTCAGACACAAACAGGATTTATATTCTCTTTTTAAATGGTACTTGAAGAGTTGTAATCATGCAGTTATTCTGTTCAAAATAACAACCAAGTTAACCATGACAAAGCATTGACAACTATCATTCCTGATGCTTGTCCAGCAGCAATCTTAAAACATCATTGATTATTAGAGGCACTATTAGATCTCAGAGACATTAAAATGTGAAAAAAAAGAGGCTGTTTAGAATGAAGGAATTCTCTATTACAACTCTCACCTCTTTTTACCCTTTCTTTTGTTTCATCCCTGGAGATTAGAGGAGGATTGATTTATCTGATGAGTCAATTTGGGAAAAATAAACTGGTTATGACCCGTTCAACTACTTTCTTTTCTCCTAAAAGCACAGATGCTCTGCTGTCCCTCTCAGGGCCAGGCTCACCATTTGGGTGAGACCATCCCAGGACCAGCTATGCCATTGCCTGGATTGGTAAATCTGCCAACTGCACATTTGCTACATTTCACAGTTTGTATTTCAACTTAGCCCTTATCAGTTATATTTTATTTATTTACTGATTGATTTGTCTTTCTTTCAGTTTTTATTTATCCTCCTTCTCTCACTCACTGGAAGACCACAAAGTAACATGGCTGACAAAGGGCCTTATATGGTGGTGTCTCTCTTATTTCCTCTACTCCTTGCTGTTTGCTTGAGTCATGTCTTATGAATGTTGGTCTTGTGATTTCTTTGAAGGGATTTTTTTAGGCTAGTTGTCTGTTTTGTGAGGGTAGGTTTAATTAAAATTAGAAAATGTCTCAGACACATAAATTACCAAACATTGAAAGAAAATCAAACAAAGAAATCTCCACTGTTCCTCTATGTTATGGAATTCTAATTGCTCTTCATGTAATGTTTCAAAATTTCTGACAAATATCAATCTTCAGAACTTGGAAATGAGAAGTCAGAATTCCCAGATTTTTAGGAAATATTCATGTTATAAGTTATTTTAGCGTGTTTAGATTATGATAAGTGAGCATAACACTAAACAAGTCATTTTTTCCTGATATTTTATGATATTATAAGTTGCAGAAATTTTCTGTAAAACAAATATAATGTAATCATAAATGAATATAGTATGAACTGATATATAGTGACATGATTACATATCTAATGTGTAAATATCTCTGCTGGATTTAGATATTTAATTTTTAAAAAATGGGATATTAAGACAAAATAAATACCCAATAAAATTATTTAAAAGTGAAAGACAACGCAGCATATACTTAGTATTTAAAAATTAATATTTAAAAAATAAATTTTAAAGTATACAAAGCATTAATTACCCTGTGTTTTGTGTCAAATATTATAGGTATTGAGAAATTTCTTTCTTTTTTTGTTGACATTGGTTGAACTGTCATTAGGGCTCACAAAAGTCTCCATAAGTTGGGTGTTAGATAGTGTCTTGCTTTATATCAGTTTCTTTCTATAAAGATGAAAATATTTTTCTGTTCTCCCCGATGTGTCTTTGCCATTGTTGGATTGCTTTCAGTAACTCAGATTCCAGATCAGGTTATGATTTTATATTAGAATATTCCACATCAACATTCACATCTTGTTCTCTTTGCATTTCTTCTGTTAAAGTATTTACAAAGAACTATAACCTATACTGAATATTTAAACACTGGAAATCGTCACCAATTTCTGAGAGCTACAGAATCTACTTCCTTGCTCCTCAGCTAGAATTCATCTTGATACTCTAAAATTCTTGTCCATATGTATTAATATTACCTTATAAATATCATTTTCTATGGTTCTGGTGGACCGAAATGAATTTTGCTCTTGATCCCAGAACCCACACAATGACTTTAAAGAAACTGTAGCTTAACAATTTGAGTCAACCTACTCATTTTAGTATTGATTTTATATTCCAGGATGACATAAACAATTGGAATCTTCCCTGTGACCCAGATGCATTCTGGAAAGTAGCAATTTGTGTAAAATGAGAGGTTTTCATAAAGGAAGGGATGTTGTTTGACTTATTCAGAGAAAAATAGAGAGTAAATAACAAGTCTTCAGCTTTGGACAGGCACCACATTTCCAGGAAAGAGTAGCCTCTCTCTACTTGTTTATTTGGCTCTTTATTTCTCAGCAAAAATACCTACTTCTACTTAAGGGCAATTCCAGCATTAAACTGTTAGTTTCCAATCTGTTTTCATTTTGGGTTTGTAGGATGAATGATGAGCAGATAGACATTATGAGAAATACCTGGATGCTTTCACACTAAAATTAAAATAGTCGATTCTACTAAAATTTTTGTTTTAAAATTAACATTTTTGCAGTTGACACAAAGGTAAGGCCGTTATAAATTAGTACAAGCAACCAATGAATTCATTACTTAAGCAGCTTAATTTAAAAGTTAAATGATCTGTAGAACCCTCTTGTTAAAAATAGACAAAAACCCTAAATCTTAAAAAAATTGCTTACTATTCATTTTTATTGAATTAAACATATTTTATTGAGGAATATATAATAACTGTTCTAATGGATTCAATTTCTAAGACCCTCAGCTTCTCTGTTGCTTTGGCCTGAGTCTTTTAGGCATGGAGACTGTAAGACAGACCACCAGTAGCCTGCTTAAATTCCTGAAGTAGCCAGATTGGACAAACAGAAACCCCATACACTTTTTGCAGACTTTTGATATGTAACAGCAATCAAAGAATTACCATACCAAAAATGAAGGTCATGTCTGAGTATCACAATTAAAAATACAATAGCAGATGGCTTTTTTAAAAAAAAAAACTTACTGGTTTATGGTTGATACAAATTCATCATATACTACTAAAGTAGATTGCAGCAACAGCTATCATTTCTGTAAATGTAATTCATACATTTTGTCAAGTCCAGTAGATTTTGTAACCCAGTGTCCGAGGATATTCTGTGGTATTTCACAAGTGCAAAAACTACAGAATTTATAAGATGATTTTAGGTTAGGAACAATGGTAGTGCTTTATAGATATGTATCCACAACAGGAATCTGTAGGAAGATCAAGCACTCTTTCTAAAGAAACACATAACTCCCACACCTCAGAGCAACTCTCAAATCATACACAAGTTCAATTAATATTGCTCTATCTTTGGTGGTGTTTTTCATCTTTACACATGTAATAATAACTTATTCTATGAAACAGAATCAAGGCAGTAAATATACTGTAGTTTATCTTGCTTGATGAAAGTGGCACTCAGGACACTTTTATTCATTTTGAAAACTAACTGAAGCCTATGATCATTTTGTGCTGCCTAACAAGCCATTATCCCAACTTCTACAGGAAGCATCATGACAATGCAGACTTAAAACATTCCATATCATTAGTTACTAAAATTACAGAAAGCAGTTGATGTTCAACTGGATATTGGTAAAACTGGAAATATTTGAAATCTGTAAACTTGAAATACATTTCCTGCTAAAGCTTGATGGGGAGGGAGAGGCAAATAGAGAACAGATTTATTCTGATATTTAGGATATGCTTTACATATTTAATGAATCAGGAGTTTCCCTTGATATTTCTCTTTGGAGGATTTTTCTTTGCCAAGTTACAACATTTTCAATAAGGAATGGACTCTATAATTTCATTCATGATGCTTTATTTATTGTGTCTTCAGCCAACAAGAAAGTGGTTTTATTTGGTGTGCTCTCCATCTTATTCAGGAGTAATTTCAACTACATTTAGAAATGTTTTAACATGCTGAAATATACATCTAGGACCACCTCCAATGGTCAGCCATCTCATCTTGTTACCTGAGTATGTGTCACTTGTCACCTTCAGGGAGTACTGACATATTGCCTTTAAACCAATTTACTTATATCTAATTTTGTAAAAAGAGTCTGTATATTTATGTTCATCATATCTATATAGATGTATATTTACATATATATATATATATATATATATATATATATATATATATATGGCCCGTAACTCCAAAAGGACAAGAATCATGAATATATTATTGTTACCATTATGTCAAACATGATTCTTAATAATACAGTTTACCTTCTTTTTAAAAAATAATAAAAAAGTCTATAAATTTACCATAATTTAGGAAGAAAATCAATTTAGTCAGAATATCCTATTCATCAGGATTTCTGGCCAAACAAGATTTTATTATTTCTAAAGCCAAGGAATTTGAGAGTGCTGTATCTGATAATTATTTTTTCATCTTAAACTTGGTCACACCTCTGTGACTCGCCTGTGATGAATTTTCAGTCTCTCCTCAGGGTTAAGCCCATGTCTGTTCAGGGAGGCGTGACTAGTTTCAGGTAGAAAAAGTGACAACCAAATGTGTTACATTCTAATTAGATTTTGCTGTCATCTCGGCTAGGACCTCTGGTAATAATATAGTCACGAGAAGGAGAAAATTGAGTATTAAAGGCTAATGAAGGAATCTTAATAGAAATTTATAAACGCTTTAAAACTAAGTCCAAATTCAAGCTGTTGGGCTTTATCTAATTTTATAGGTACAGCATTTTCTTAGACTCCTGCTGCCGTGCAATCTGAGAGAATCATGTTCTCAGATAAAAGGTCTCTGTTGATCAATTTAGGATTATAAAATTCCTAGAGTTTTCTTTAGGAAAAAGGGGTTCTCCCACATGCTTATTTGAGTACTTCCAAGCTGTGCCTCATTAGATTTTCATTTGTTGTTATTGCTGTTGTTCAAGTTTTAAAAAAGTGAACCAGTTACACCACAGTAGGTTAATTTAAAGAAGTTCTTGGTACCTTTTCAGAAACTTGTTGCCATTTGCCTGTCATTCTGTCCAAGTGTGAGTCACCTGGAGTGTAGGTAATGGCCATACCCACTCTTCAGAGAAGTTAGCTCAGAATGGATAATGGGCATCCTGCAGGCTCTTTAAAACAAGGCAGAGAAGAACACAGAACACAATTGAGAGCCATGTGCTTTGAAAATCCCCCCAAAATGTCATATTTGGCAGATAGGCCTTAAGTGTCAGCTCCAAATGTTGACGTAATCTTTCAATTATTATTTACTTTGCCCTTGATAATGCTCTTTTACTTTTATCTAACTCTATTCACATGCATTTGCTCACGATAATTGTCATAATGGACTGCCGTGTTACCAACATTTCAAGAACGTTGAAGTAAAATGCTAATAAAAATTCTTTAATAATATTTCAACTAGAGATTATGTGTTGTAACCTATAAGTACATATTTAATTACATAAAAGTTTTTAAACTATGGCTTACCTATATTAGCCACTAGACAATCTTTTAATTTTATAAATTCTTCTTGAATATTCTAATAAATTTAAATATGACATCCACGGCCAGGCGCAATGGCTCATGCATGTAATCCCAGCATTTTTGGAAGGCTGAGGTGGGCGGATCACCTGAGGTCAGGAGTTCGAGACCAGCCTGGCCAACATGGTGAAACTCTGTCTCTAACAAAAATATAAAAATTAGCTGAGCATGGTGATGGGCACCTGTAATCCCAGCTACTCGGGATGCTGAGGCAGGAGAATCGCTTGAGCCTGGGAGGTGGAGGTTGCAGTGAGCCGAGACCGGGCCACTGCACTCCAGCCTGGGCAGCAGAGCGAGATTCCATATCAAAACAAACAAACAAAAAAATCCGTTACATTTCATCTTTGTGCATTTGAAAGACATCATCTCAACTTCAGCATTAAAAATTGACATTTGCTCAAAGAATATTATATGGTTGCTCTGAAATGCTTTGATTTTTAAAGTTTGTAACAAATATGCAATGCTTCCCTTATTTAATTATGAACAAAGATCATAGTCCTCTCCCAGATTCAGCTTGTGTGACAAAAAATACATTCTCATATCTTACTGAAAATATTGACTGTCTTGTGTTTTATTTTATATTTTATGGTAGTTGATGGATTTTTTGATTTAGGAGAAACACCCTGTCTAAATAGCTACTTTTCTCACTTTTAAGCATTATCAACATCTAAGTAGGCTTTTAAATTGTAGTTAAGTAATTTATTTCACAGTCCCACAACATTGGGAAAAACAGTAATTTTTTTCACAATCTCACAAAACCAATTTCACAAAAAAGAGAAACCCACTATTTCTTCTCGTAATTGTTCCTCTTGATTATAGAAGTATAGGGCAGAGACCTTCCTTTAATATTGTTTTGTAGAAATATGTTCTCATACAGAAGGTAACTTGTAAATTGTATGTCTTGGTTATGAGAGATAAAAATGAAACTAGATACTTCTGAATATAATTCCATTTGGTTGTAGAATTTCTCAAGTATTATTCAGGTCACATGCACATCTGTCCATTATGACAAAGATATAATCAATTTGTAGGGTCTTCAATTTATTTACTTATAAAAAAGAATTTACCGTAAGCCTATTAGTTGAGTTTGTCATGTGTCTGATTTGGAAAGAATTAGAGAAATGGCTGGAATTCGAATCCCTGGACATCAGCTTTCCTTAGAAATTGCGTGCTCATAGCCAACTCCTTGACTTTCTGGAAGGAGATAATCATCCATTTACAGAGGAAAAGTACAATGAACACTGATTATTAAATAAAGATTGTATCCCTAAAACCTAACTTTATATACAACCTATGCTTCTTATAAGCTTGCATATATATATATATATGTACACACACACACACATACACACACAAACACACACATATACATACACAAGGTAAGCCTAGGCACCCATTTTTTTCTTGGATTTTTGAAGGATTAATTATAATTTTTAAAAAGAACGTCTATTAACCTGTGGACTTTAGCCTAATAGCATATCTGTTGCTTCTGCTTTTATAGGGTAAAATTATTGAAGACATGTAGGACCATAAATGAAAATGTATCATTAAAGGGACTGACAAAAGTAGAAACACTTACTTAAGGAGTTAAACAGAATTTCAAGAAGTGACTTTTGTAATTGTACTTCTCTAGTTGGTTTTCTATGTTTAGCCATAATACCTGTGTTTCATTTATTATCTTACATCATCTATGTTTATAGTAAGACTGATCTTTATATTATCTGTCTTTATCACTTCTTACCTATGAGGACATGAACTGTGTTGGTCCTTTGTAAATATTAGTGAAAGACCTGAAGCCATTTCTTAATACATTAAATCAGTCTGTTCTATTTCCTTTCTTTCCTGCATGTGTTTAAATATATTCTTCTATGTTTTTCTTAGTATAGAATATGTGCATTAAATTAGTAAGGATGTAATTGCTTAAGTTTTCTGAAAATGTTATTCTTATTACATTTAGAAAGCAATGTAATGTAAAGTCATTAAATAAATTCTATGTATGTTCTGTTTCCTGGTCACATTTGCTTTTAGGTCTTTAAAAAAAACCTCTTAACTATTTGATGAGAGATTTACATTATAAACTGAATTCAATTCTGGAACTACTACAGAACACTTTGTGATGGAATATTGCCAATATAGTATCCACATTTGTTGACACAATATAGACAGCAAAGAAGGAAAAAAAAAAGAATCAAAAACAATTATTGTTAATCCTATAGTTTTGGTATGAAGTCTTTAGGTGGCACTGTGGTTCCAGCAGTAAATCATTTAACATCAAAGAGCCTTCTATTAGGACTATGATTAAACAACTCTGCCACTGATTTTGTATTTAATTTTTATAATTATGCCTTATATTTATAGGGCTTATCCTAATTTATAGAATGTTTTTCTCATATGTTACTTCATATTATTTGTAAAACCAGGAGCAAAGCAAAATACCCCTTTTATTCCTCTTTGACAGATGACAAAAAGAAAAGATTCAGGGGAATGAAGCCATTTTTACAGGCCCTATCATGTTCTGTAGTATATTTTGAAAAAGAATTTTTAACATTTCTTCCCGGTCTATCTCCACCTCACTGTCATAAGTTTTCTCAGGTCTTCCCATCTCTAACATGATTGACACTAACTTCAGTGACAGTGAACACCTGAAGGTATTAGACATGGCGCAATCACTTGGATGATGTTTCTGTTGAACAAAGGGTAGTAAAGGTGTCAATATGCTGTGGTTCTTTTAATTTCTTTATGTCTTTATTCTCTTATGAATCTCTCTTCTTATCTACATAGGACATAAAACTTGAATAAGCATTACAGTAATTAATGAACATGGGGCATAAAATTTAGAACTATATGCTAGGTAAGATTTTTTACATAGACCAAAGGAAAAACACCTAAGGATATAAGCCCTTTCTATAGTAGTCTTCTAAAAATATATCCTCTTATATGTCCTCAGTTTCTAAATTTAATACCCTATTAAGAGTTTTTGCCTATCTGTAAAAATTGTCTTCTTCCTTAAACTTTGAATGTACAATCTCCAGCCAACTTTTCAGAAAACCTAACTACTTATGTAGTTTGTATGGGTCCCAAATTCATCCCCAGCAATCTATTTTTCCACATTTGACATATCCAAGCAACAAAATATATCCAGAGTTCCAGCAAGAAATTCTGGGTGGCCCACAGAGCAGTTCATTAGACATTCCCAGGGCTAGACATTCCCAGGTCTATGATCTTTCTTCTGCAAAACATTCCCAAGTCTATGCTCTTTGTTACTTCATTGGAATAGTTGCAGTCATATAAATATGACTCTCTGTTTCTCAGTTAATAACTTAAATAAGACACAAACTTACATTTTTCTGCCCCAACATACACATTTATTTCTTCCAGGACAATAACAGATATTAATTCTGAGACACAGTTCCATCCAAGCTTTCTAAGAATGAGGGGACTATTCTCCTAATTGCCCCATGGTTTGCCAGGCTACAGGTCTTCTATGGAATTAGTGTTTCACATTATTAAGTAGGGAATCATCTACTTTCAAACTTTGCTCCTTTGCAGAGAATAAGATTTGATTTCATGCTTATCCATATGTTCTTAATAACTGCTTCCTTGACTTGTAAGATAAGACTAAGTTTTCCTGTTTACTCAGATTCTTCTAAAAGTCTCTTCTCCAGTTTGGAGAAAGGAAGAAAGTACATTGTTCCATTTATAGTTAACTAGTAGATTGATTGCAAATATCCATTTTGGAAAAGAGAGACAATGCCATTTTTTTAATGTTGCTTTATAGCTCCTCACTTGATTCTTACCTTTTCTCTGCACCTATGCTATGTGATATAAAGATTTGCTCTAAAATGTAGATTGCTTATCAATAAATGTTAAAGGAAGAGCAGAGCCTTTAATCATGAAGAATTCAGGGTTGGGGCAAAAGTAGAGCTAGAGAGATGGAAATTTGTGCCTGGTTAACTGGTACCAAGTAACATATTAATTTTGCAAAACCCATCAGATGTCAAAAGATATGATTGAGTGACCTCTAATTTCTCTATGCCTTGTGTTTAATTTTCTTAATGTTCTTAATCTCATGTTTAAGTCTAAGTTATATTTATGCACTCTAATATCCAGAATTTTATCTTTCTTTTTCCTCCAAAATTACTCCAAGGTAATTTTTAGCATCTTACATTGAGAGAGTCTTACTTGTCTAGTGTTAAAGGAAAACATTTACTTGTATTCAAATTATTTTTTGGATGTATGTAACTCAAACAAAGCTTGTACTAACAAGGTAAAAATATCTTTAGGTTTCACCAGTCTTATTCTTGAAATTCTTATGAGCGTATATGTATATTTCTTGGAAAGTGAGCAATTAATAGATGTGGGCATAAAGAATCATTAAAACAATCTAACAAAAAGGAATGTAAGCAAAGAAATAAGAACCCACAAAATAACTGTTTTATGATAGAGGGATATCCATTTTATACATAAAAAGCCTTCTTTTCAATAAGGAAGTCAACTGCTTCCACGGTTTTCATCACATTTTCTACATGCTTACATCTCTAAAAAAAATTCACAATGTAAGAAATTGTAGTGGAAACATTTTCCGTTGTAAATACAGAAGAAACAGGACTCATATCTTATCTTTCAGATAATATAAATATTCGTGGATGTGAGAATTATAGATACATAGGAGATCTTTAATATATTGAAATATATTGACATGATTAAAATATGTTGCTTCTCTGTATTGTCAGGAAACATATGTTATTTTGACAAGACGAGACATATTTGCAATATTGCACATAAACCCAAATTTCAGTTTTCAAAGTTTCACTTTGATGAAAATTATTTTTCTTAAAAAGTATGAACATTATAT
The DNA here is from genome assembly GCF_000001405.40 of Homo sapiens. NCBI lineage: Eukaryota > Metazoa > Chordata > Mammalia > Primates > Hominidae > Homo > Homo sapiens. Next base: position 194,816,965 of record NC_000002.12, on the reverse strand, counting down.
TTTGAATTTGGGGGCAAATAAAAGAAAGTGAAAATTTCATCAAGACAACTAGATTAATGCCAAATAACTTACAGAAAAATTAAAGAATACATGTAAACATGTATATAATGTTAGAGAATCTATAAATATATAAAAATAAAATGTATATACATTATTGTGTAAAAATTATTTCTTCTTTGTTGGTGTTTATTTTAAATGAATGAAGTCAATGTCTGTCTGTACTCTCAGTGTCAAGGACAATGAGAATTGGAGTCATAGAGAAGTGAATTTCAGTCAAGGCTCTTATATTTTCCAGTTAAGTATTTTTAAGCAAGTGATATGGTTTGGTTCTGTTTCTCTACCCAAATCTCACCTTGAATTGTAATCCTCATAATCCCTATGTGTCAAGGGCAGGACCAGGTAGAGGTAATTGAATCATGGCAGTGGTTTCCTCCACGCTGGGCTCATGATATTGAGTAGTCTCAGGAGATCTGATGGTTTTATAAGCCTTTGGCATTTTCCCTGCTTGCACTCATTCTCTCTCCTGTTGCCCTGTGAAGAGGTTCTTTCTGCCATGATTGTAAGTTTCCTGAGGCCTCCCCAGCCATACATAACTGTGAGTCAATTAAACCTCTCTTCTTTATAAATTACCCAGTCTTGGGTATTTCTTCATAGAAGCATGAGAATGGACTAATAAAGCAAGCCTCTTAACCTCTGAAAATCCTAATTTAAATTACTTTTATAAAGTGTTTTTTACCTAGCTCTTAAGGTTGCTGTAAGGATAAAGTGATGTAACATGCCTAACCAGTTGACTGGTACAGTAAAAATGTAATAAATGTTAAATGTTACTCTGAGCTATTATGGTACCTTATATTGCAGATCTCAAGTCAATTCTTGACATATTGTAAATAAATTATAGTTAGGCAGATGCATTTGCTAAATTTGGTGTATATATATATATATGCACGCAAAAGTTACTTTGTGGTCATTTGTAGATTGGTTTTATACCATTCTATCTTAAGTACACATTTTATTATGGACAATTGTGCTTTTGTAAATACTCTAAATTTCCCTTGAGATCTATAACATTCTGATTTATGTATATTAAAATTATAAAAGGTAGTATTTTCATTGGCTATATTCCAGATATTAAATATGATTAATTAGTTTAAAAGTCCCATTTACCAAAAATTTTACTTATAATAAGCAATAATACCATTTTCTATGTCTTTGGCTTGAGTTTAGCTTTTGCTACTTTATTATAGCAATGGTTCTGAATAATTATTTGGTAAAAATTCCACTTCCATGACTCTAAGATGAACTCCATGAGTCATTCTTTCTCTGTATCCTGTTTTCAAAAGGTATTCTAAGATGCTTTTGCTAAGTTTAACAAATTTTGATTTCATGCAAGTTCAACATTATGTTTATGTTTACATATTAAACTTTATTGTTCTTCCAATTTTACCAATGTATACACCAAAAATCTCAATGAAATTCAAGAGTTTAGCTAAATTTATGACATGTTTTTACATGATAAAAATGAGGCATTATTTTGATATGTTTCTGGACCAATATCAGAATTCTGTGATGTAAGACATATAGTGAAGGTTCCCATCATGATTAATATTTGATACTGGTATCAGGCATAAACACAGCTCATGCTTATGTAGCAGTTACATATAGCACTGAAAAACTGAGATCACGTTATCAAAACACAATGAAAGAAGTAATATTCAGCCTCTAGTGTTGTCAGCCTACCTTCAATATTATTCCTAAAGTCCTATCTTCATGCCCTATCTCAGGCAACCTCATCCCTTTCTTTTAGGGAGTTGGGGATGGGGAAAGGGGAGATGTCGGTCAAAGAGTACAAAGTTTTGGTTAGACACAAGGAGAAAGTTTTAGTGATATATTGAACACCATGGTAACTATAGTAAATAATAATGTATTGTATATTTCAAGTGTTCTCATCGCAAAAAAATAACTAGGCGAGGTGATGTATATGTTAATTATTTGGTTTAATTATTATACAACGTGTATAGAGATACATGTATACATACATCAAAATTTCACAATGTACCCCACAAATATGTACAATAAAACTAAGTAAATAACCATGCTTTTTTCATTGTTGTATTTACAGACCTAGTGCAGTGCTTGGCAAAAATGAGGCCCTAAGTAATGATTTGGTGAATATATATTAATAAATTAATTAATTATGGCTGGGCATAGTGGCTCATGCCTGTAATCCCAGCACTTTGAGAGGCTGAGGCAGATGGGTCACCAGAGGTCAGGAGTTTGAGACCAGCCTGGCCAAGATGACAAAAATTTTTATATTTCTACTAAAAATATAAAATTAGCTAGGCATGGTGGTGCGTGCTTGTAATCCCGGCTACTCAGGAGGCTGAGGCAGGAGAATCACTTGAACCCAGGAGATGGAGGTTGCCGTGAGCTGAGATCATGCCACTGCACTACATCCTGGGTGATAGAGCAAGGCCCTGTCTAAAACAAAACAAAACAAAACAAAAAAAACAAAGAGTGAAAACATAAATTAGAAAAATATAATACGGAGATATTTCATCAGCAAGTGCTTGTGGTTGTTACACTAGAAAAAATACACAGCTTAAAAAGTTAGATGTTATAGTTGAGAGACATATATATTAGAAATTCTGAGAATCACTTCTACCACCATTTTCTGCAAGGTTAATGTACCTAAAAGACTCATAACAATAAAGAATCTCCTGAGAAGATTTGACAATGTAATTCTCTTAAGAAGCTCGGTAATTGCGGAGTGTTCTACTTAAAGTTGAAGGGGCACTTTTGCTAGAATATAAGTTGTCAATCTGTCCATTTAAATCCTGTACAGCAAGAACAATTTTAAGTACCTTCTACCATGTGAGCCTTAATGTGAATGCTCTCACCCATACAAAAGCCCCTTTTCAAACCTTTGCAACACTTACAGGTACATATGGTCTCCTCTCCCTGTAACTCAGGGGTGGCACTCCAGCCTGATTTCAGAAATCAGGGCTCCTAACTCCCCTAGGATCATTTGGGTAACTGGGAAGACCAACCAGAGGAATTTCCTTTTTCCTACTATGACTTTCAGGAAAAAAGCCTAATCAGTTTAACTTGGTCAAGAATATTCTGGCGTGTATTTCTGGACTCGTTTCTCTATTTTTGCTTCAGCAGCTTCAAGAACAGTCCTTACTGCCAACCTGTAGAGTGATTGGAATTTAGAGTTTTCTCCCAACCCCTATCTGTTTTCTTGTCCTGTCCATCTTCCAAGGGTCTCATGGGTTCTTCTTTTAGACTGTCAACAAAAACAAGTTGATTATCTACTCCCGATGACCTGCACCAAGCATTACCTGTCTTCCTTGGAAAATAGCCAGCCATGATGCCTTTCAGGATTCCCCCCATGAGTCCTCTTTCTTGAGGAAATTAAACTCCTTTAGCAATTGATCCTCTTGCAACAAGCCAAACAACCAACCAAACAAAACACCTTATTATGGTATTGCTGTACTTTACTTCCATTTAAAACATATTCATTCAAATAATACTTTGAAAAAGTTGATATCCTGTCTAGATTTTAACTTTATGGAAGACAGAAACCAAACTCTGCTTATTTACTTTCTATGTAGGCCTTACTTAAATATTTGTTGAAAGAATAAGACAAGTCACTTAGTTTTTATTTGTTTGTTTGTTTTTAATAAAAATACAAAGCCTTGGTAGACTGATGTGCAAAAGGTACATAGAACTGGAGAAATGAGATTAAGTAACACATGAATTCTGTTGCCTTAAAAGTTACATGGTTCTCCTTTAACTGTGATTCTGCAGGAATAAGTAAACACACTGTGCTCTGAGGGACGTAACTAAATTAAAGGCCGTTATGCTGTGTAATATATAATGAGAGAATTTCACAGAAGACATTCTCAATTTCTATTTCAAGCAAAATCTTTGCCAACTAGTTTTAATCTCCTGTACTGTACATAACTTCTCTTGAACTATAGAATTTTCAGTACTACTGAAAGAAGGCAAAATTATTTTAATCATGATCATATTTTCCTGATTATCTCAGAGAAGACAAGCTTTTTCTGCCTGAGGATATTTAAATCCTCAAAATGTTCTTTGTGATGCCAGTTTCTTAATTTCTAAAGTGCTCTTTACAAACTGAAAGATACTCCATTACTTAACAATAACATAGATGCTAACCATAACAAGAAGTAGTTGAGACTTGAGAAATAATTCTGGGTAATGGTATAAAAATTAGCAAATAAAACATTTATTTTTACTTGCATTCTGATCAAGCCTTGTCGCATAAATCAGTGCTACTCTTCATTACTACATTAAGGGTACTAAGATAAAGACAAATTGAAAAAAAAAATACTGATAGTATTTGATTTGCATGCTTTTTTATACATAACCAAGTTTATTGCCAACGAGAAGTAATAAAAATCCCACCATTTGTGCTAGTAGAGTGAAAAACTTGATTTGTAAACAATCAAGGTTCCATTTAAAATAAGTATATCAGCAAGTTGCATAATTACAAGCTTATTATTTTTTTATGGCCATAGATGACATGAGCAGAAAAAAAAGAAAAGATATATTCTGTATTTTATCTGATCCCTAGCAGCATCTGCTGTTACTGTTGCTGGCTAAAGAATGTCTTTCAGATATCTATTTACTCCTGGACATTTCTCTGATTATGATAAAAATAAGTATTTGGCTTTCCTCATCACCACCACACATGATGCTTGAATGAATCGCACTTAAAATTATTTGGTTTTATTTAAACATTTACTTTTAGTGAATTATATTCCTCTTAAAAATAATTTTGCCTTTTAAGAAAATAGATGTAACTACTATTGTTGGTCACAGGTATTTATAATTCTTCCTCAAAACTTTTACGTATTAAAATTTTACCCATAATCCATATATCTTTTATTATTATTATTATTATTATACTTTAAGTTCTAGGGTACACGTGCACAACCTGCAGGTTTGTTACATATGTCTACATGTGCCATGTTGGTGTGCTGCACCCATTAACTCATCATTTAGCATTAGGTATATCTCCTAATGCTATCCGTCCCCCCTCCCCACACCCCGCACCCCACAACAGTCCCCGGTGTGTGATGTTCCCCTTCCTGTGTCCATGTGTTCTCATTGTTCAATTCCCACCTATGAGTGAGAACATGTGGTGTTTGGTTTTTTGTCCTTGCCATAGTTTGCTCAGAATGATGGTTTCCAGCTTCACCCATGTCCCTACAAAGGACATGAACTCATCCTTTTTTATGGCTACATAGTATTCCATGGTGTATATGTGCCACATTTTCTTAATCCAGTCTATCATTGTGGGACATTTGGGTTGGTTCCAAGTCTTTGCTATTGTGAATAGTGCCACAATAAACATACGTGTGCATGTGTCTTTCTAGTAGCATGATTTATAATCCTTTGGGTTGTATACCGAGTAATGGGATGACTGGGTCAAATGGTATTTCTAGTTCCAGATCCCTGAGGAATCGCCATACCGACATCCACAATGGTTGAACTAGTTTGCAGTCCCACCAACAGTGTAAAAGTGTTCCTATTTCTCCACATCCTCTCCAGCACCTGTTGTTTCCTGACTTTTTAATGATCGCCATTCTAACTGGTGTGAGATGGTATCTCATTGTGGTTTTGATTTGCATTTCTCTGATGTCCAGTGATGATGAGCATTTTTTCATGTGTTTTTTGGCTGCATAAATGTCTTCTTTTGAGAAGTGTCTGTTCATATCCTTCACCCACTTGTTGATGGGGTTGTTTGTTTTTTTCTTGTAAATTTGTTAGAGTTCATTGTAGATTCTGGATATTAGCCCTTTGTCAGATGAATAGGTTGCAAAAATTTTCTCCCATTCTCTAGGTTGCCTGTTCACTCTGATGGTAGTTTCTTTTGCTGTGCAGAAGCTCTTTAGTTTAATTAGATCCCACTTGTCAATTTTGGCTTTTGTTGCCATTGCTTTTGGTGTTTGAGACATGAAGTCTTTGCCCGTGCCTATGTCCTGAATGGTATTGCCTAGGCTTTCTTCTAGAGTTTTTATGGTTTTAGGTCTAATGTTTAAGTCTTTAATCCATCTTGAATTAATTTTTGTATAAGGTGTAAGGAAGGGATCCAGTTTCAGCTTTCTACATATGGCTAGCCAGTTTTCCCAGCACCATTTATTAAATAGGGAATCCTTTCCCCATTTCTTGTTTTTGTCAGGTTTGTCAAAGATCAGATAGTTGTAGATATGCGGCACTATTTCTGAGGGCTCTGTTCTGTTCCATTGATCTATATCTCTGTTTTGGTACCAGTACCATGCTGTTTTGGTTACTGTAGCCTTGTAGTATAGTTTGAAGTCAGGTAGTGTGATGCCTCCAGCTTTGTTCTTTTGGCTTAGGATTGACTTGACAATGCGGGCTCTTTTTTGTTTTCATATAAACTTTAAAGTAGTTTTTTCCAATTCTGTGAAGAAAGTCATTGGTAGCTTGATGGGGATGGCATTGAATATATAAATTACCTTGGGCAGTATGGCCATTTTCATGATATTGATTCTTCCTACCCATGAGCATGGAATGTTCTTCCATTTGTTTGTATCCTCTTTTATTCCATTGAACAGTGGTTTGTAGTTCTCCTTGAAGAGGTCCTTCACATCCCTTGTAAGTTGGATTCCTAGGTATTTTATTCTCTTTGAAGTAATCGTGAATGGGAGTTCACTCACGATTTGGCTCTCTGTCTGTTATGGGTGTATAAGAATGCTTGTGATTTTCACACATTGATTTTGTATCCTGAGACTTTGCTGAAGTTGCTTATCAGCTTAAGGAGATTTTGGGCTGAGACGATGGGGTTTTCTAGATATACAATCATGTTATCTGCAAACAGGGACAACTTGACTTCCTCTTTTCCTAATTGAATACCCTTTATTTCTTTCTCCTGCTTGATTGCCCTGGCCAGAATTTCCAACACTATGTTGAATAGGAATGGTGAGAGAGGGCATCCTTGTCTTGTGCCAGTTTTCAAAGGGGATGCTTCCAGTTTTTGTCCATTCAGTATGATATTGGCTGTGGGTTTGTCATAAATAGCTCTTATTATTTTGAGATACGTCCCATCAATACCTAATTTATTAAGAATTTTTAGCATGAAGGGCTTTTGAATTTTGTCAAAGGCCTTTTCTGCATCTATTGAGATAATCATGTGGTTTTTGTCTTTGGTTCTGTTTATATGCTGGATTACGTTTACTGATTTTTATATGTTGAACCAGCCTTACATCCCAGGGATGAAGCCCACTTGATCATGGTGGATAAGCTTTTTAATGTGTTGCTGGTTTCGGTTTGCCAGTATTTTATTGAGGATTTTTGCATCGATGTTCATCAAGGATATTGGTCTAAAATTATCTTTTTTTGTTGTGTCTCTGCCAGGCTTTGGTATCACGATGATGCTGGCCTCATAAAATGCGTTAGGGAGGATTCTCTCTTTTTCTATTGATTGGAATAGTTTCAGAAGGAATGGTACCAGCTCTTCCTTGTACCTCTGGTAGAATTCGACTGTGAATCCATCTGGTCCTGGACTCTTTTTGGTTGGTAAGCTATTAATTATTGACTCAATTTCAGAGCCTGTTATTGATCTATTCAGGGATATAACTTCTTCCTGGTTTAGTCTTGGGAGAGTGCATGTGTCCAGGAATTTATCCATTTCTTCTAGATTTTCTAGTTTATTTGCGTAGAGGTGTTTATAGTATTCTGTGATGGTAGTTTGTATTTCTGTGGGATCGATGGTGATATCCCCTTTATCATTTTTTATTGCATCTATTTGATTCTTCTCTCTTTTCTTCTTTATTAGTCTTGCTAGCAGCCTATCAATTTTGTTGATCTTTTCAAGAAACCAGTTCCTGGATTCATTGATTTTTTGAAGGGTTTTTTGTGTCTCTATTTCCTTCAGTTCTGCTCTGATTTTAGTTATTTCTTGCCTTCTGCTAGCTTTTGAATGTGTTTGCTCTTGCTTCTCTAGTTCTTTTAATTGTGATGTTAGAGTGTCAATTTGAGATCTTTCCTGCTTTCTCTTGTGGGCATTTAGTGGTATAAATTTCCCTCTACACACTGCTTTAAATGTGTCCCAGAGATTCTGGTATGTTGTGTCTTTGTTCTGATTGGTTTCAAAGAACATCTTTATTTCTGCCTTCATTTCATTATGTACCCAGTAGTCATTCAGGAGCAGGTTGTTCAGTTTCCATGTAGTTGAGCGGTTTTGAGTGAGTTTCTTAATCCTGAGTTCTAGTTTGATTGCACTGTGGTCTGACAGACAGTTTGTTATAATTTCTGTTCTTTTACATTTGCTGAGGAATGCTTTACTTCCAACTATGTGGTCAGTTTTGGAATAGGTGTTGTGTGGTGCTGAAAAGAATGTATATTCTGTTGATTTGGGGTGGAGAGTTCTGTAGATGTCTATTAGGTCCACTTGGTGCAGAGCTGAGTTCAATTCCTGGATATCCTTGTTAACTTTCTGTCTCGTTGGTCTGTCTAATGTTGACAGTAGGTTGTTAATGTCTCCCATTATTATTGTGTGGGAGACTTTTAATATTATTTATTTTTTATTCTTGAAAGTTCTTGGAGGATAATGATGATTATGGAGCCTAACTTTCATCTACTTAGGGTGCATTTCAAGATCAAAAACTAAATACCACTCCCAACCCAATACAGACTTTAAATCACTAAAAAAAAAAAAAAAAAAAAAATCCCTATTGAGATACTCAATTTTAGCCAGAGTTTTAGTATTCCTCTCTTTCTCACTTCCATACATCCATATTTCTCGACGTTTACTATCTCTCTACACATTTATGGTCTTGCCTGCCTTGAAAGCACTACCGTAGATTTCATCTCCTTGGTGAAGCTTTCCCTGATCAATCCTATTCATCTTCAATCAATCCGCTCATGTTAGTATCTTACTAGCACTTAGGTATATAATTCAGTAAGACTACTGAAGGATTATCTCCATGTTTATTGAACATATTAATTGGACTTTCTCTTTAGAGTTTGTGGGATGTCACCTTCATTATTTTGTAAAATACTCTATGAATTTTCATACATTGTTCATAATTGATTAGAGAATATAGTGGTTAACTGATCGAAATCTCAGATCTCCCACCTACAGACCCATTACTCAGTTTTTCTCTTTCCGTAATAGAACAATGATTAGTCTTATTGATGGTATAATCATATTTCATTAAAAGCATCAAGCTTGTGTTGGAAGATTCCATATTGAATACATTATACATGTTTCAAATTCTGTGGCTTAATAGCTTATATATCCCCAAAGATATGTGTATTGACATGCATAAGAAATTCTAAGGCAAATATTTTACAACATGTGTAGATAAAACTTAGTCATTTATTTTAATCATTAATTAGTTCAATTTATTTTAAAAGGGTACATAACTTAAAATTCATTCCAACTCATTTACAGTTGGCAAAACTTAAGGTCTAGCCAATGTTAGCTGACAAAAAGCCACATACAGGAAGTAATATTCAGGTAACCCCCTCACCCAAAACCTCTCAACTACATGGAAACTGAACAACTGAAGGAGATAGAGACACAAAAAACCCTTCAAAAAAATCAATGAATCCAGGAGTTGGTTTTTTGAAAAGATCAACAAAATTGATAGACTTCTAGCAAGGCTAATAATAAAGAAGAAAAGAGAGAAGAATCAAATAGACGCAATAAAAAATGACAAAGGGGATATCACCACCGATCCCACAGAAATACAAACTACCATCAGGGAATACTACAAACACCTCTATGCAAATAAACTAGAAAATCTAGAAGAAATGGATAAATTCCTGTACACATACACCCTCCCAAGACTAAAGCAGGAAGAAGTTGTATCCCTGAATAGATCAATAACAGGCTCTGAAATTGAGGCAATAATGAATAGACTACCAATCAAAAAAAGTCCAGGACCAGATGGATTCACAGCCGAATTCTACCAGAGGTACAAGGAGGAGCTGGTACCATTCCTTCTGAGACTATTCCAATCAGTAGAAAAAGAGAGAATCCTCCCTAACTAATTTTATGAGGCCAGCATCATCGTGATACCAAAGCCTGGCAGAGACACACAAAAAAAGAGAATTTTAGACAGATATCCCTGATAAACATTGATGCAAAAATCCTTAGTAAAATATTGGCAAACCGAATACAGCAGCACATCCAAAAGCTTATCCCCCATGATCAAATGGACTTCATCCCTGGGATGCAAGGCTGGTTCAACATGTGCAAATCAATAAACATAATCCAGCATATAAACAGAACCAAAGACAAAAACCACATGGTTATCTCAATAGATGCAGAAAAGGCCTTTGACAAAATTCAACAGCCCTTCATGCTAAAAATTCTTAATAAATTAGGTATTGATGGGACGTATCTCAAAATAATAAGAGCTATTTATGACAAACCCACAGCCAATATCATACTGAATGGACAAAAACTGGAAGCATTCCCTTTGAAAACTGGCACAAGACAAGGATGCCCTCTCTCACCACTCCTATTCAACATAGTGTTGGAAGTTCTGGCCAGAGCAATCAGGCAGGAGAAAGAAATAAAGGGTATTCAGTTAGGAAAAGAGGAAGTCAAATTGTCCCTGTTTGCAGATAACGTGATTGTATATTTAGAAAACCCCATCGTCTGAGCCCAAAATCTCCTTAAGCTGATAAGCAACTTCAGCGAAGTCTAAGAATACAAAATCAGTGTGCAAAAATCAGAAGTATTCCTATACACCAATAATAGACAAACAGAGAGCCAAATCACGAGTGAACTCCCATTCACAATTACTTCAAAGAGAATAAAATACCTAGGAATCCAACTCACAAGGGATGTGAAGGACCTCTTCAAGGAGAACTACAAACCATTGCTCAACGAAATAAAAGACAACACAAGCAAATGGAAGAACATTCCACGCTCATGGATAGGAAGAATCAATATCGTGAAAATGACCATACTGCCCAAGGTAATTTATAGATTCAATGCCATCCCCATCAATCTACCAATGACTTTCTTCACAGAATTGGAAAAAACTACTTTAAAGTTTGTATGGAAACAAAAAAGAGCCCTCATTGTCAAGTCAATCCTAAGCCAAAAGAACAAAGCTGGAGGCATCACACTACCTGACTTCAAACTATACTACAAGGCTACAGTAACCAAAACAACATGGTACTGGTACCAAAACAGAGATGGAGACCAATGGAACAGAATAGAGTCCTCATAAATAATACCACACATCTACAACCATCTGATCTTTGACAAACCTGACAAAAAGAAGAAACGGGGAAAGAATTCCCTATTTAATAAATGGTGCTGGGAAAACTGGCTAGCCATATGTAGAAAGCTGAAACTGGATCCCTTCCTTACACCTTATACAAAAATTAATTCAAGATGGATTAAAGACTTAAACATTAGACCTAAAATCATAAAAACTCTAGCAGAAAACCTAGGCAATACCATTCAGGACATAGGCATGGGCAAGGACTTCATGTCTAAAACATCAAAAGCAATGGCAACAAAAGCCAAAATTGAGAAATGGGATCTAATTAAACTAAAGAGCTTCTGCACAGCAAAAGAAACTACCATCAGAGTGAACAGGCAACCTACAGAATGGGAGAAAATTTTTGCAACCTACTCATCTGACAAAGGGCTAATATCCAGAATCTACAAAGAACTCAAACAAATTTACAAGAAAAAAATAACCCCATCAACAAGTGGGCGAAGTATATGAACAGACACTTCTCAAAAGAAGACATTTATGCAACCAACAGACACAAGAAAAAATGCTCATCATCACTGGCCATCAGAGAAATGCAAATCAAAACCACAATGAGATACCATCTCACACCAGTTAGAATGGCAATCATTAAAAAGTCAGGAAACAACAGGTGCTGGAGAGGATGTGGAGAAATAGGATCACTTTTACACTGTTGGTTGGACTGTAAACTAGTTCAGCCATTGTGGAAGTCAGTGTGGTGATTCCTCAAGGATCTAGAACTAGAAATACCATTTGACCCAGCCATTCCAGTACTGGGTATATACCCAAAGGATTATAAATCATGCTGCTATAAAGACACATGCAGAGGTATGTTTATTGTGACACTATTCACAATAGCAAAGAGTTGGAACCAACCCAAATGTCCCACAATGATAGACTGGATTAAGAAAATGTGGCACATATACACCATGGAATACTATGCAGCCATAAAAAAGTATGAGTTCATGTCCTTTGTAGGGACATGGATGAAGCTGGAAACCATCATTCTGAGCAAACTATGGCAAGGACAAAAAACCAAACACCACATGTTCTCACTCATAGGTGGGAATTGAACAGTGAGAACACTTGGACACAGGAAGGGGAACATCACACACCAGGGCCTGTTGTGGGGTTGGGGGAGCGGGGAGGGATAGCATTAGGAGATATACCTAATGTAAGTGATGAGTTAATGGGTGCAGTACACCAACATGGCACATGTAGACATATGTAACAAACTTGCACGTTGTGCACATGTACCCTAGAACTTAAAGTATAATAATAAAAAAATGCAATTTCCATAAAATATCATGTTAAAAAAATAAAATGTGAAAGTTTTCTTCTCAATAAAGTTGTTGTATGAATGCAATATTCTTTTAAAATTTAAACTGCTAAAACTCTGTGTATACAATAATTTATTTTTTAAAAGCCAATAAACTTGGATATGATACTCTTTAAGAGGAAAGATAAAGACTAGTCAGATATGTTAGAAATTTCCTATGTGTAAAGTGCAGAAACAAAGTATTTTAAAAAGTGCAAAATCTGATTGTACCTGGTATTATTTTTAATGAAAAAAAGAGAAATACAGAAGAGCTATTCATCTGTAGATCCTAAATGATTTTATATTTTTAGATATGTCAACAGAGGTGTCAATATTTCTGAAAAATAATTATTAAAATATTTTCAAAATATTAACAATGCTATTTGTTAAAGGAAACTTATTACTTATCTAAATTATGTTGCATAACTGGAAAATATTGACCCTAATACCCAGATGGTTATTTACTGTTTTCAATAGGAAATTTACTGTTTTCTTTAGGAAATTCCTTCTTGACATTTGTTGAAAAATTTGTATGATTCTGTAAATCTGAAGTAAAAAATCAGTTGAGAAATCAGGAAAAAAAATTATTGTATTTCTGTGAAAAGTAAATCTGAACCACCAACATTAGAGATATTACTGGTTCAAAGGAACCTAATTCAAATTGAAAGTAAGAGGAGGGAATGCTGACATGCAAAGCCACAGGTTAAGGTCAGCATTTCCATTTCCAATAACACGAAGTAAAGATTCAGTCGGGATATATTCTAATTAGTATGTCTCGCTGGTAGCTGTTACTATGTTATCATTATGTGTTTTGCACAGTGTCGACTGCTAATAGTCAGTCTTAGAACACAAATACTAATTAGTTTATGTAAATAGTACATTTTACACACCTGATATAAAGGCTACCCCAGTAAATAGGATTTGAAAGCAAAATAAGTCTTTAAGTTAATAATCCAGCACATGATCCTGGATAGTGCTATTAACCCTTGTTAGGAAGTCTATTGCTATATTATCCACATATAAGCCAATAATGTTGTCTGGCATTTCTAAGTGTTTGAATATTTGCTATAAGCTCCAATTTTTAAAATTTTAATAAAATACAACATAACTTATGATTTCAGAAATTCTCAACAATTCCCACAATTTATATTTCTCATTTCCAAATCCGATAGATTCATACTGGTCAGAAATTTGTTAATACTACTGTTGAATATAAGTGGTTGTTAGTTTCCAGCACTCATTGTCCCATTATGTCACCTTGTGTTCAGAGCTTTAATCAAGAGCTTTAGTTTGGGGCAGGGTATATTTTTTCAGCATTTGCTCTTGAAACTCAAATGTCTTCACACCCCAGTCAGTGTGATGTTAAGACACAATTTTATAAACAGTGAAAATGAATAGTAGATAGTCAAAAGATCAACTTAATTTAATATGATAATTATTAGTTAAGCATTTTCCTTCTGTAAAACCCTGATGGAGATTCACAGTTAGCCAAAGAAAGTTTCCTTCCCTGAAAAGTTTGCAGTATAATGAGGGAGGCAAACACATGAATAACCATAATGCATCTGTAATACATATGTAAATAATCTGCTAAGGCTCATGCTCTCTGCTACACATTGTCGAATTGAGAAACAATTTTGAATCTCTAGAACTGGCTCAAGCTCCTTTTTAGTCTCCCATTTCTTTAAGGTTTTCTGTTATGCACATTTTATTCCTTATATTTTGTAAATACAGAAACTAGCAATGGCAATATGTCTATCCTGTACTGAATAACTACTTTAGGCCGGCCATTGTAAGAAGTGACTTATATTTATTATTACTACTCATAATAAAACCTGGAAAATAGATATCCTTATTCCTATTATTATTTATAGAGGAAGAAACAGAGATTCAGAGAAGTTCAATTGCTTAATGAGTTACTTAAAGTCTCAAAGCTCTTGGATGAGGACACGGAATTTTAAACTATGCCTGTATGCTTCTGAGGCTTATGCAGATCATGATGTGACACCCAGCGTGAGGCAGTGTGTTGTGGGGGGAAATAAGTTTATAGGCATGAAGTTCTGTGTTCACATCCAGAGTTTGCCTATTCCTAACTAAATGACTGACTGAATTATTCTGTCTTACTCTCCTAATCTGTTAAATGGGGATAGATGGAAGAAGAAAATTGATTTATGTTCTTGGAATCCAACAAAAGCAAAGATTTGCAAGAGAACTGACAGTGTCTAGGAAATTTTAAATTGCCTTGCATGAATAGAGGATAATACGTATGACAAATATTCCTTCCACTAAGTACAACTAAAATCCCTGGACATTATGTATAAAACAGACCTAAGAAAACGTAATTAAGGCAAACTGGCTGGGAACGTCAGGACCCAAGAAATGACATGATGGCAAGTACCTTGAGTATTTTCTTTTACAAACATTTATCTCTAGTTTGGAGCCGAAGAAACTGGCCATCCAGAAACATTAACAAGAACAGATAAAAAGAACCCAACATAACCCTGTTTTCTGAGAAATGAAGCCTGTCCAAAAGATCAGTTAGGTTGATTCTTTCTCAGGAAAGGCTTAGCCTAACAAGATAAATCTTTTAGACAATAACTGCTGGACTCCAACTGAACACTCCATGAGAACATGTGGCCACACCTCCATCCATATTGGCAAAGACAAACTGGAGAATCTAGATTTTTACCCTCTAATTGTTGTAATAAGGTTCTCCAACATCCCCTCTGGGTGACCAATGAGAGAACACGAACCAATAAGGCCAATGGGGGACACTAAAGCTTTTGCTCAGAAGCCATTGATGAGTCTCTGTCCCTTCTGTATCCTGTCAGCAGAGGCTATATGAAGAACCTGAAACTGCACCCCATCCTCTTCCCTCCACATTAAGCTGGTATCTGAGGTGGCCTAGTGAAGAGTGGGGACTTTCATCATCACCAGTGATAATGAGATGACTCCATAGAATGGTGAGTGGAGACCCCATAGGGAGTCTGGCAGTAATGAGGATCTCCACTCCCAAAGTGTCAAAGACTGTGTGAAGAACCTGAATTTCTACTTCATGTGGCTGTAAGAAAGCAGTGCCACCCCTCTTCCTACTGGAGCAGCAGATAAAGCCAGCTGAAACAGAAGGCGTAAATATTATCCAGAGTGTCATAATATAATATGGAAATATGCACATTTCAATTGAGCTTTATTTATCATATCCAGAACCAGGAAAAGTTCAAACTGAATGAAAAGAGACAATCAATAGATACTAACACAATATAACAGATGTTAGAATTATCTAATAAAAATTTTAAAGCAGACATAACATAGCTCAAGCACTAATGAACATGCTTGAAGCAAATGAAAGAATAAAAAATCTGAGCAAAGAAATAGAAGACATAAAAAAGGAAGAACTAACTGGAAATCTTAGAATTGAAAAATACAATAATGCAAATAAAAAGCTCAGTAGATGAGCTCCACAGCAGAATGGAGGGAACATTGAAAAGAGTCAAGAAACTAAAAGATAGATCATTACAAATTATAGGTTGAGCATTCCAAATCTGAAAATGCAAAACCAGAAATGCTTCAAAATTTGAAAGAAAAAAAAATAGGAATGTGAAATACTTCTGGTCCTAAGCCTTTCAAATTAAAGATACTCAACCTGTATCCACTTTGAGTAATAAAGAAGATAGACCATAAAAGCATAAAGACAGAAAAGAGCCTCAGGCACCCATGGAATAGTAACAAAGATTGAACATTCATTTCAGACAAGCTTAGAAGGTAAAGGAAGAGGGTAGTACTGAGAAAGTACTTCAAGAAATAATCAAAGGAATTGGAATAGGTAAAACAATGGGAAAAGGCAGAATGAAGTGGGAGGAATGCATCTTCTGATTCCAAAAGTCATTATGTAGCTACAGTGATCAAGACTATGTTATATTGGAAAAGTGATAGACACTTAATAAAACAAGCTAGAAAACACAGAATTATACAAATATGAGTATATTTGTATGCCCAACTTATTTTTGACAAAGGTCAAAAGTAATTCAATGGAGAGAAGATAGACTTTTTAACAAATAATGCTGTAGCAATTGGACATCAATAGAAAAACAAATAAGCTTCAATGTAAGTCTGATACCTTATGCAAAAATTAAATCACAATATGTCATGGACTTAAAATGAAGAAATATAAACATTTAGAAAAAAACAATATGGGAGAAAATCTTCAGGATCTAGGACTAGGCAAATAGTTCTTAGTTTTTTTTTTTTTTTTTTAAAAAGCACGATTTTCTTGGAAAAAATGATAACTTTGATCCAACTAAAATTTAAAACTATTGCTCTATGAAATACCCTGTTAAGAGATTGGAAAGACAAGCTACATACAGGGAGAAAATAATGTGGAACAAAGGACTAGTATCTAGAATATATAAAGAACTCTCAGAATTAAAAAGTTAAAATCCAGTCAAAACATGAACAAAAGACATGAAGAGAGATTTCACATATGAAGATATATAAATGGCAAATAAGCACATGAAATGATGTTCAACATCATTTAACTATCAGGGTAATAATAAAAGCACAATGAGATATTGCTATATACCTGTAAGATGTTTAAAGTAGAAAATATTGACAATGTCAAATAAGACTGAGGAGAAAAAAAAAACAGTCATACATTGTTGGTGGGAATATAAAATGATACAACAACCCTGGGAATTATTATGGCAATTTCTTAAACAACCTAAACATGCAACTATCATATTATTCCCCCATTGCACTCCTAGACATTTATCTCAGATAAATGAAGATTCGTGTTTACATAAAACATGTATATAAATGTTTATGGAAGGATTATTTTTGATAGTCCAATACTAGAAATAACCCAGACATCCTTCAATGGGTGAATAGTAAATCAACTGCAGTACATCCGTGCCATGTATTACTACTCAGCAATAATGGAACAATTTATACATGCTGCAGCATATATGAATTTCACAGGAATCCTGCCAAATGTTAAAAGCAAATCCCAAAAGGTTACATACTGTATGATTATATAACATTCTTGAAATGACAAAATTATAGAAATGAAGAAAGGAATAGTAGTTGCCATGGTTAAGAAAGTAGTGAGGATGGAAGGGGTTGTGTGAAAAGGCAAGATGAGTGATCCTGTATGGAACATTTTTTTCTTGATTGTATCAATATGAATATCCTGGCTGTGATATTTGTACTGTAGTTTTGCAAGTTGCTACCATTGTGAAAAAACGGACAAAAGGTACAAAGGATCTCTGTGTACTTTTTTTTATAACTACATGTGAATCTAAAATTAGGTAAAATAGTAAGTTTGATTAAAAAATGTATGGGAGAGAATTATGGTGGGTAAAACTGGAAATGCACCTGGAGCCAGACTGTAAACCATTTTGCATCCCATGCCCGAAGAATTCTAG
The DNA here is from genome assembly GCF_000001405.40 of Homo sapiens. NCBI lineage: Eukaryota > Metazoa > Chordata > Mammalia > Primates > Hominidae > Homo > Homo sapiens. The sequence goes on along the minus strand of NC_000002.12, from coordinate 194,798,951 downwards.
ACTTTGGCTTTTCTTCTAGGTCAGGAGGACTCATCTAAAGATTTTAAATATAGAGCATTTATAATTTGAAAATATAATACTTTTCTCTGTAGTAATGTAATATAGTAATCTTAAGAAATTATTATTTCAGTTTAGTTGGAGAGGATACAATTTAAAAAGAAAAAGACTTTTTTTTCTGGAGTTGAAAGTCAACAATTTTAGACTGACTAGAAGTGGAATTGATGGGGAAGAATGTTGAGACTGTAAAATCAAACCTGATTTTATAATTTCTAGCCTGAGTGATTGGGTGAATAGTTATGTCATTAACTGAAATAGGCAAAGCAGGCAGAGAAGCAGGCTTGTGAAGGCAGGATGACTGATGGAGGTAATAAAGATTTGTTGATATATTTTAATTTGAGGTTGTCTAAATTTAACATGTTTGTGGGATATCCAAGTGAGATATATAGAAGACCTTGGAAATGTGAGTCTGCAATTCTGTTCACCATTTAATCTGTAAATGTTCTGGGTAGGTGTTGACCTATAGGTATGAATTGAAACCATGGAGTAGTAGAGAGAATCCCATGATTAGCAAGTGGGAGAGAATTTCAAAAAGGAACATTCAGCAACATTAAATATCATGGAGTAGTAGAGAGAACATTAGAAACCATGGAGTAGTAGAGAGAATCCCATGATTAGCAAGTGGGAGAGAATTTCAAAAAGGAACATTTAGCAACATTAGATATCAGGAATATTCAAAGAATAGTAGAAGGAAAGAATATTAGTCTATTTTCATACTGCTATGAAGAAATACCTGAGAATGGGTAATTTATAAAGAAAAAGAGGTTTAATGGATTCACAGTTCCACATGGCTTGGGAGGCTTTACAATCATGGTAGAAGGCAAAGAAGAAGCAAAGGCATGTCTTACATGGCAGCAGGCAAGACAGCATGTGCAGGGGAACTGCCCTTTATAAAGTCATCAGATCTCGTGAGACTTATTCTCTATCACGAGAACACCATGGGAAAACCCTGCCCCCATGATTCAATTACTTCCCACCAGGTCCCTCCCATGACATGTAGGAATTATGGGAACTATAATTCAAGATGAGATTTGGGTGGGGACACAGCCACATCCTATCGTTCCACCCCTGGCCCCTCCAAAATCTCATGTCTTCACATTTCAAAACCAATCATGCCTTTCTAACAGTTCCCTCAAAATCTTAACTCATTTCAGCATTAACTCAAAAGTCCATAGTCCTGAGTCTTATCTGAAACAAGGCAAGTCCCTTCCACCTATAAGCCTGTAAGATCTAAAGCAAGTTACTTCCTAAATACAAAGGGGATACAGGCATTGGGTAAATACACCCATTTCCAATGGGAGAAATTGGCCAAAACAAAGGGGCTATAGACCCATTGTAAGTCTGATATCCAGCAGGGCAGTCAAACTAATGACCTCCTTTGCCTCCATGTCTCACATACAGGTCACGCTGATGCAAAAGGTGGGTTCCCATAGTCTTGGGCAGCTCCACCCCTGTGGCCTTGCTTGGTACAACCTCCCTCCTGGCTGTTTTCATGGGCAGGCTTTGAATGTCTGTGGCTTTTCTAGGCGCATGGTGCAAGCCATAGGTGGATCTTCCATTGTAAGGTCTGCAGGACAGTGACCCTTTTCTCACAGCTCCACTACACAGTGCCCCAGCAGGGACTCTGTGTGGGGGTTCCTACCCCACAATTCCCTTCTTCACTGCCCTGGCAGAGGCTATCCATGAGGGCTCTGCCCCTGTAGCACACCTCTGCCTGGACATCCAGGCGTTTTTGTACATCCTCTGAAATCTAGGGGGAGGTTCCCAAATCTCAATTCTTGACTTCTGTGCACTCACAGGTCAAACACCACATGTAAGCCGCCAAGACTTGGTGTTTGCACCATCTGAAGCAATGGCCTGAGCTGTACGCTGGCCCCTTTTAGCCACGGCTGGGATGCAGGGCACCAAGTCCTGAGACTGCAGAAAGCAGCAAGACTCTGGGCTCAGCCCATAAAACAATTTTTTTCTTTCTAGGCCTCCTGGCTTGTGATGGAAGGGGCTGCCGTGAGGACCTCTGACATGCCCTGGAGATACTTTCCCCATTGTCTTAGTGATTAACATTTGGCTCCTTGTTACTTACAGAAATTTCTACTGCCAGCTTGAATTTCTCCTCAGAAAGTAGGTTTTTCTTTTCTATTGCAGTTAGCTGCAAATTTTCTAAACTTTTATTCTCCACTTCCCTTTTAAATATAAGTTCCAATACCAAACTGTATCTTTGTGAATGAATAAAACTGAATGCTTTTAAGAGCACACACGTCATATCTTGAATGCTTTGCTGCTTAGAAATTTCTTTCACCAGATACTCCAAATCATCTCCCTCAAGTTCAAAGTTCCACAGATCTCTAGGGCAGGGGCTACCAGTCTCTTTGCTAATGCATAGCAAGAATAATCTTTTCTCCAGTTCCCAATAAGTTTCTTATCTCCATCTAAGACCACCTCAGCCTGGACTTTATTGTCCATATCACTATCAGCATTTTGGTCAAAACTAGTAAACAAGTCTCTAGGGAGCTCCACACTTTCCCACATCGTCCTGTCTTCTTCTGAGCCTGCCAAACTGTTCCAACCTCTGCCTGTCACACAGTTCCAAAGTCACTTCCACATTTTTGGGTATCTTAATATCAGTATCCAACTCTACCAGTACCAATTTACTGTATTAGTCCATTTTCATACTGCTATAAAGAAATACCCAAGATAGGGTAATTTACAAAGAAAAAGAGGTTTAATGGATTCCCACTTCCACATCACTGGGGAGGCCTCACAATCATGGCGGAAGGTGAAGGAGGAGCAAAGGCAAATCTTACCTGGTGGCAGGCAAGAGAGAGCATGTGCAGGGGAACTGCCCTTTATAAAACCATCAGATCTTGTAAGAATTATTAACTATCCCAAGAACAGCACAGTAGAACCTGCCCCCATGATTCAATCACCACCCACCAGGTCTATATTCTTCACCAATTTTTCAATAGATCCTCATTTGAAATGATTTTGTAGGGATTATGGGAGCTACAATTGAGGATGAGATTCAGGTGGGGGCAGAGCCAAACCATATCAGAAAGGAAAATAGCAAGAGAAATTGAGAAAAATTATCAGAGATATAGGAAGACAATCAAATTGTCATAGTTCCTCTGGAACTCAAAGAATAAATGGTTCAATAGAATAATTGATAAAACCATATACTGACTGCAGTTTTAATATCAACCATTACATTTGCAACTAGGAGATTATTTATGAAATTTTGAGTGTTATTTCAATTTAGTGGTATGAATAAAAATCATATTACAGGGTCAATGAAAGCAAGGAGGTTGGCAATAAAAAAGAGGGAAGGAGGAGGAAAGATAGTCATTAAGAGGTAAAAGCATGAAATAGGAGAGAATGGGGTTACAGTTGTAGAAGAGGAGATATAATTGATTTTTTCAAAAAAATATAAAAAAGGAAGTCCTTAGAGAAAGCAGAGACAGAATTAGGGGCTTGGATGGTTATAAATACCCCAGCATATTTACACACCCATTTACAGTCATAAGCTTTGATATGACTTTTTTTTTTCTTTTTCAAGAGATTTGAATGTAAAAGCAATAGGCTTACAAGGTATGGCAGGCTGTTGATGAGAGTTTTCATCGAAACTGGCAGGAACATTGGGAACCAGCTGTTGGTGTAGGTAGATCATTTAAAGTAGTTTAAACACCTAAAGGATAATTTTAAGACTCTGTGCTTCAGGTCATGAGAATTTCCTAAGTATTTGTTCCAAGAAAATTGTATATATTTTAGACATAGAAATATTTATCAGCTGTTGTGTAGCTTTTCTTTTCTTTATGATGTATTTTGTCAGTGGATTAAGGAAAGCAATGTGTATTCTGAAATTGGTTATTATAATGATTATTCAATATGTAAAAGATGATAAAGGGAGGTCCTGATATTTCACTTAGTTACTTGGTAAAAACATCTTTTACTAAAATTTCTATATAATATGTTATTATAAACTCTAATACTTACAGAAAATTATATCCCTAGATATATGAATGGAAGTCACTTGCAATAAGCTCTAGGCAATGAGACTTTCAGTTATGGTGTAGAAATTCCTTCTGTTTTAAGAATCTGCAGATTCTTACAAAACTCTTCAGTAAAGTTTCACATTTGCTAGGTTGCTTCTAGGTGTCCTCACTTCCACGGACAGTCTATCAGAATTTTTGTATTCCTTTACATCAGTGGCTCCACTTCAAGAATTCCAGTGGCAGCACTTTGTATGTTAGGTGTACATTAATGTTAAGAGTGTTGAGTTCTAAAATCAGATTGCTTACATTCAAATCCTGGTTCCACTTAGTCACTTTCAAAGCTGAGTTAGTTTGAGAAAGACATTGAATCTATCCGTACCTCAATCCAAAATAGTTCTGACTGTTCATGTAGAACTGTTTTGAGGCTTCCATTAGAAAAGCCTCAGATAACACTCTTAAAGCACTTGAAATATTATCTGACATACAGGAAGAACTTCATAATTATAGTCATTTTCTGTTATATGCTCCTTCTCCTTATATAATAGACAACGCTTTCTAATATTATAACTGGATACCAAATAAATGGTATAGAAAAGTAAATCTCTCACAAGGTAAAAATGTAGCATTCAAAATACTAAGTGTGTGAAAAGAAAAAAAAAAAGTAAATTCTGATGATGCTTTAACAAGGGACCTATTAGCCTTTCAGCAAGAGGAGATTGTTGTCAGCTGGCATTTGTACTGCCTTGAACTTTTATTTTCCCTTAAATTACATAGAATGACTACAAATAACTAGGTGACTGGGATGCCAGTACTTCTTCTTTTCTAATACTTAAAATTTGAATATGGCATTATTCTTAAGATGACCAAATCCTAAACTAAGGCGAAGATTTTTGCTTCTAATTTCAAACCATTTTGTATGCTACTAGGGAGCTCACATAGAATATCCCTATAGTACTTTGCAACAGGAAAACAGAATTTCTGGTGTCAGGAATGACAGAATGCCGTTCGGACTGGGAAACCCTGTGGGTAATTTCATTTTCATTTGCTAGTGAAGCAGAAAAATCAACATGTTGTGTGTCAGAGTACAATGAGAAATACTTCTTGGCAGTTTGAAATTCAGTCATTGGTGAGGGGGGAAATATCTGAAGTGGGCTGTCAAGGTGTAACTTCACATAGATAAGTCTGGTTTAAAGTAGGCAGGTAGTCTGCATTTAGATATTATCAGAGATAGAAAGGGCCCTTTAGTTTGACCCAAATGCCTTAGGGAATTATAACTCCTGTGAAATCTGATCCTCTGATGGCTGATTGTCAAGTCTGAAAATGAAGTAAGCCTTAAAGTCTTCCCTTTGAACATTTCTACCTTGCTTGGATTTTATAAAGGTGGAAAAAGGATACTGGTAAAGAGGAAAGAATAGTCATTCTGGAAATTTACGCCGAAGTAAAGAAGAATTTTTCAATTAACGGGGTATCTAGTAGTAACATGATAATTCCAAAGTTTAGTAGGTTGACTCCTAGTTTGATCTGTGAATAGTGTTTTGCTTGTATATTTTACTGAATGAGAAGATAATCATGACAACTTAAAATAGATATTTAAATATTAAAGACAAATCCCTTATCATCTGTCTGCACTATTTCATGATTTTTTAATTTATACTTTTGCAGATAGGATTGTTTTTTACAAAATGACAGATGCTAATTGTAAATAAAATAACTCATAGTAGGAAATGTTATAAAGTTAAATAAGAGTATTTCTTCATTATCACCAAAAATTTTACTTCCTAGAGCTAACCACAATAAAAATTTTGGTTTGTATACTTACAATTAACAAAAATTAAATGCCATATATAGATACACACAACATACACATGCATCAAAATAGATTCTGTGATGGCAAAATAGACTTATGTGAGATCGAGACCATCCTGGCTAACACGGTGAAACCCCGTCTCTACTAAAAATACAAAAAAATTAGCCGGGCGTGGTGACGGGTGCCTGTAGTCCCAGCTACTCCGGAGGCTGAGGCAGGAGAATGGCGTGAACTGGCAGGCGGAGCTTGCAGTGAGCCGGGAGGCGGAGCTTGCAGTGAGCCGAGATCACACCACTGCACTCCAGCCTGGGCGACAGAGCGAGACTCCGTCTCAAAAAAAAAAGTACATTCTATGTTAACATATGCAATTTCATAATTACAGTGAAGAAGATTAATAATTTTTAAGTATCTTTGCATACTATTTACAACTTTTGTAGAAGAGAGGAATTATTATACGTAATGCTGCAGTGAACATACAGTCGCTTATTTTTTTACATAAGACTTCAGCATTGGAATTGTTAGAAGAAGACAGCATGTTCAAATTATTGAGAGGTAATGCAAAATTGTCTCACAAAGAAATTGTGCTAGGTTACTTTCTCACCAATATTATTGTCAATGCTGTGTGGCATTAATCTCTTTAATTATCAGTCTTACAAATTAATGTTTTTATTGTTATATTAATTTGAATTAATTTGATTACTGATCATGAACACACTTTTACATATTGGTTTTTATATTTTCCATTGTCAAATGTTTTTAAACTTTTTCTAATTTTTCTTTTGAAAATTTTTTTCTTATTCACTTAAGATGTATGTACTTAAACTTCTTTATACAGTAATAATATTGATCTATTTTTATTAATATTTTTTTCTGGCTTATTTATTGTTTATGATTACAATATAGTTTTCTATACAGATGTCTTACTTTAATGTACACAAGTCAATTTCATTCTATTGTGACTTCTTGTTTTTTCTGTTATACTTAAGTCATTTCCATTCTTACTAAACTTAAATGACTTTTTAAAGTTATCTATTATCGTTCACCTATCAGATTCTCAAATATAAAAAAGTTCTTTTCTAAATTCTCAATTCTGTTTTATAGATGCATTTACCTATTTTTTTTTTTACCATAACTGTGGTATTCTTATTTAAGTAGCTGTGTGTGTGTTTGTGTGTGTGTGCATAAACGTGTGCATATAAACGCATGATAGATATGAAAAGCCCCTTCATATATTTTTTCTCTGTAAAAATAATCTTGGCTATTTTTGCACATTTAATTTTTCTGATTATATTTTAGTTTGTTATTCCAAATATATACTGCCTTGTTTTGTAATTAGTCACTATCTTTATAATATTAACTGTACCTATACAGAAAAATGACATACAAAATCAGTCTGTGGAAGTTTATACATTTCTGTTATATTTTATAGTTATTTTAAAGTTTTTGCATTATTGGTTGCAATAATAATTTTATTTCTGTGTGTCTATTCTACAAATTATAAATTGATTCATAAAGATTTTTAATTAGATAATAGTGTTGCCTTTAAATAATCTTTTTTCAATATATGTGTGTATTTTTTCCTTTTTAATCTATTGGATATAATCTAACACAATATTTAAAAATAATAGTATTTTGGGGGATACTATGCAGCCATAAAAACAATGAGATTATGTTCTTTGCAGGGACGTGGATGAAGCTGGAGGCATTATCCTTGGCAAACTTACACAGGAGCAGAAAACCAAATACCACATGTTCTCACCTGTAAGTGGGAGCTAAATTATGAGAACATGTAGACACATAGAGAGGAACAACACACACTGGGGCCTATTGGAACGTGGAGGGTGGGAGGAGGGAGAGGATCAAGAAAAACATTTAGTGGGTACTAGACTTAATACCTGGATGATGAAATAATCTGTACAACAAACCTCCATGACACCCATTTACCTGTGTAACAAACCTGCACATGTATTCCTGAACTTGAAATAAAAGTTTTTTTAAGTGTAACTTACCATTTTAAAAAATAGTATTTTTAATATAATTTAATAAAAAATATTATTGCATGTATCCTTTCTCATTTCTGAATTTAATGAAAACTCTTCTAGTATGTTAAAAGTAATCATGTTAATTTCTGGGAGATACCTTGTATCAAAGGAAGAAACTTATATTTTATTTTTTTTTAGTAATTATTGTTGAAGTTTGCCAAGAGAGGCAATATTGTATCAGTTAAGTATATGGTTTCTAGCCAAGTTTACATTGTGGCTCAGCCACTCACTGTCTATGAGACTTTATGCTTTATTTAAACCTCTTGTGCCTCAATGTCCTTATCTTTAAATAGCCTAGTGATTGTACTTATTACATAGGATCATGGTAGAATGACATGAATTGATAAATGTGAGCTAGAACATTACCTGTGTCATAGTAAATGCTCAGTAAGTGTTAGGTATTTGTTTATCTTCATCAATCAAAAAAATTGCAAATTGGTTTTGTATTTTTAATTCATTTATGTAATGTAATACATTGGAAGAGATCCTAAAGTTTAATAATCCACACATTCCTGGGATTATATGGTTTAGGAATTAAGGAATTATTATTTTAATTTGCATTTATTTGCTAGTATTTTCTGGAAATTTTTGCATCAATATCCAAAAATTAGAAAATACAGAGTTTTCTCTTTTTTTATATATCATTTTCAGGGTCACATATTAGGATATTGCTTTCCTAGTAGACTGAGTTAGAAATACTGTGGATTTTTCTTTTGAAATAAAAATTACTGAATTAAGGAAAACTTTTGCCATTAACTAATTAGTTGACTTTTATTTATTTGAATCAAAATTTATGGAACCTATACTATACATTTTTAGCAAGTTATGCTTATAAAAATAGTTTCTATTTTAGTTAAGTCTAGAATCAATTAAATATGTATTTATTAAATGTGCACTACTTAGTAAGACATTGTTTGGAATAAACAAATGTATATCACATTCTCTGTCCTGCTCTCAAGAGTAAAGCTCAAGACAGAAGTAGGTACTAAAATTAAAAAAAAAATTAATGTCTTTGAAACATTTGTATACACAGTGTCAAATTGTTACTTATAACAATTTGTTGCAGTGTTTATAGTTTCAATTTTATAATTGCATAAAATAAAATTTAGAATGATTAATTTACTCAAAGTCAAATAAATAGTAAATCAAGGACAAGAATTCAAGCTTGGTTGTCCTCATGAAAGCCCATATTCAGAATATGAATGATAATCAAATAATGAAAAACTGAATATGAACGACAAAAAATAATGAGAGTACGAAATAGAATAATGTAGATTAAGATGGTAAGGTAGCATCAACAGAGTAACTAGACTTTAAACTTCTGGGAATTAGTTGTATTTTTCACTTATGTTTGGTACTCCAAGAAACAGTAAATATCTGGCACATAGTATGCACGTAATCAATGTTGTAGGTTGAATTAATGATTAAATGGTTAGATTAACAATTTTTAACTGATACGTAAACCGAGTATCATGGAAGATTTTATGAAGCAGAAAGTGTTTGATGTAACCCTAGTCAAGAAAATAACATTTTTGATGCTTTAATGTAGTTGGACAGGGAATTACTCAGACCAGAGGTGTTCGAACCAGAGCAACATCATCTTGAGTGAGGGCTAGGAAAAGGAGGCTGGACTTGTGGGGCTGCATTCTGAGAAAGTCAGGCATTCCTAGCCTTTAGATGTTTATGATTAAGGGAACAAATTAATAATGTTTACTAAACAGACCCAGACTTGAGAATGTCCAGGTATCCTGAAATCTGGAGAACAAAGGCATTCCTAATTTTGCTTTAAAGATAATAATATTGATTCTTGCAAATTATAGTAATTAAGAAAATTAATACTTTATTACAAACCTTTGTAGCAGAGCCTATCTCGCCATATATATGAGTATCGTACCTAGAGTGGATGCGTTCTTCCTTTTACTTATAGGAACACCCTGCTCTTTCTATGGAGTAGCTGTGCTTTCACTACTTTACTTTATTAAACTTGCTTTTACTTTGCACTGTGGACTTGTCCTGAATTCTTTCTTGCGTGAGATCCAAGAACCCTCTCTTGGGGCCTGGATAGGGACCCCTTTCCTGTAACACTCATAGTAGAGAAAAAGAATGTGTAAATGAATGGAGCCCATGTGGCCTGAGAGTATCTGGGGAATAGGTAGTCATCTAGATTGCTCTGTGTTTGAACTCCAATGCAGTAGAAGTATCCTCCCCACGCCAAAAGAAAATGCTATTTTGGAATGATTGATATGGAAAAAGTCAAAATACCCTGGGAAAAACCAGAACTTTGTGGGCTGTCATGTCAGACTCTTTGCTGCCTCCCATCCTTCTTGCTGGTAGAGTTAAGGACCACACTTCTTTTGAGTCTCTTTGCTCCACTGTCATTTTCTCAAGGAAACAATCAGCCTATTCACATCTGTAACTCCTCTCCCCAATCACCCCGAGTCCATCTTATTCTGGTCTTTCTCGATGTATGTCTTTCTCCTATAACACTTAGTCACTTATGAATATATTACATTCTTTACTTATTTCATTAATAATTTACTTTGTCTATTATTCTACACCAGAATTTCAGCACGATGAGGGCTCTACTTTGATTACTTGAGTTCTAAGGGATTTACCATGTACCCAGAATGATACCTAGTACATGTAGGTATTCAGAGAATATTTTGTTGAATTGCTATTTAATAGACAAGTAATTTCTGACTCTTACAGTAATTTTCTTGCCTGATTTCTCAAACCTGCTATTGGGTCACCCTAAATCTTTATCTTACTCTACAAATTGAGCTTCTTAATGCCATTTGATACTTTCTCCTTTTAAGAAAAACTTCTCCAGGTTGTTGACACAAACAAGTCATGGGGAAAGGATTCCCTATTTAATAAATGGTGTTGGGAAAACTGGCTAGCCATATGCAGAAAACTGAAACTAGACCATTTCCTTACACCTTATACAAAAATTAACTCAAGATGGATTAAAGACTTAAACGTAAGATGTATAACCATAAAAATCCTAGAAGAAAACCTAGGCAATAACGTTCAGGACATAGGCATGTGCAAAGACTTCATGATTAAAACAACAAAAGCAATGGCAACAAAACCCAAAATAGACAAATGGGATCTAATTAACCTAAAGAGCTTCTGCACAGCAGAAGAAACTATCATCAGAGTGAACAGGCAACCTACAGAATGGTAGAAAATTTTTGCCATCTATCCATCTGACAAAGGGCTAATATCAAGAATCTACAAAGAACTCAAACAAATTTATTAAAAAAAAAACCGTCAAAAAGTGGGCAAAGGATATGAACAAACACTTCTCAAAAGAAGACATATATGCAGCCCACAAACATATGAAAAAAAGCTCATCATCACTGGTCATTAGAGAAATGCAAATCAAAACCACAATTGTATACCATCTCACGCCAGTTAGAATGGTGATCATTAAAAAGTCAGGAAACAACAGATGCTGGAGAGGATATGGAGAAACAGGAATACTTTTACACTGTTGGTGGGACTGTAAACTAGTTCAACCATTGTGGAAGACAGTCTGGTGATTCCTCAAGGATCTAGAACTAGAAATACCATTTGAGCTAGCAATCCCATTACTGGGTATATACCGAAAGGATTATAAATCATTCTACTGTAAAAACACTTGCACACATATGTTTATTGTGATGCTATTCACAATAGCAAAGACTTGGAACCAACCCAAATGTCAATCAATGATAGACTGGATAAAGAAAATGTGGCACATATGCACCATGGAATACTATGCAGCCACGAAAAAGGATGAGTTTATGTCCTTTGCAGGGACATGGATGGAGCTGGAAACCATCATTCTCAGCAAACTAACACAAGCACAGAAAACCAAAGACTGTATGTTCTCAGTCATAAGTGGGAGTTGAACAGTGAGAACACATGGATGCAGGGAGGGGAACATCACACACCAGGGCCTGTTAGGGGGTGTGGGGGGATAGAGGAGGAATAGCATTAGGAGAAATACCTAAGGTAGGTGACAGGTTGATGGGTGCAGCAAACCACCATGGTATATATATTCCTATGTAAAAAAACCTCATGTTCTGTACCTGTACCCCAGAACTTAAAAAAAAAAAAAAAGAAAAACTTCTCCAGGTTGTCCTTATTCATAAGCCATAGATTGTACCTACTATCCTGGCTATAGTTATTGAGCTCAGGATGATCAGTGACTGATGCAAAGGAGGTCATCTGTGGTTTGGCTAGTGGCCAATGATGTGTATAAATTAAAAAATAGATCACTGTGTACTGATTGATAATTTACCAATCAATCTGATATACACTCCTGTGAAAATTGCATAAAAATCTTACTTAGGATTAAATAGTGATAGCCACAGAATAAATCAGTAAAGAAAAAGATATCCTGTGTTGCCAACATGATGGATGGTTCATGCCTGTAATCCCAGCACTTTGGGAGGCCGAGTTGGGTGGATCGCAAAGTCAGGAGATTGAGACCATCCTGGGTAACACAGTGAAACCCCGTCTCGACTAAAATTACAAAAAATTAGTCGGGCGTGGTGGCGGGTGCCTGTAGTCCCAGCTACTTGGGAGGTTGAGGCAGGAGAATGGCGTGAACCCGGGAGGCGGAGCTTGCAGTGAGCTGAGATCGCACCACCGCACTCCAGCCTGGGCGACAGAGCGAGACTCTGGAGACTCCGTCTCAAAAGAAAAAAAAAAGAAAAAAAAAAAGACACCTGCTGCTGTTGGGACGATAGGACAATGAGATTACTTGTTTGTATCGTGAAAAACCATCCACTTCACTGAAAGCCAGGCTGGTCCTCTTCTGGATACTCTCTCATACTTCTTTACATTTTTTAATGGTCCTTAGAATAACTCACAATTGGTTTAGGAAACAGCCACTTGTATCTGTTCTTTGTAACTCAAATGAACTAAACAATCAGAGAAATCCTCTCGGTTGTCAAAGTTATTTGAGAGTACACAAGACTATCTTTTCCCATTGTCTTTTTTGTCTTGTTCAGCTACTTATTAAATGGTGTTATTCAAAATTATCATAGGACATATAATATAGTTATGAAACCTTTTTAATCTTCTAAATAAATTTAATAATTTATTATTAATTTTATTCAAAGTACATGATGATTTTGTTTTTAGTTTCCTGAGGTCAATTCTACCACATAAAACCTATTATTTTTATGACTATTATGCCACAAAATACAATTATTTATTCCTCTGCCTTAAGTTGCTGAGAAAGACACAAAAGCATAAGCATGTAAAAATAGACTGCTATTGCCATTAGTTTTTATTTTTGTTGAAAAATATATTTTGTAATTTTTCATTATTGAAGTTGTTGTGCTTGCTTGCATTTATTCTTTGATTAAATCTGTCGGGATTTGATTTTATATCTTTTAATCTTTATTCCAAGAATTTGTCTGTTTTCTGCATTGGTTTAAAGACATTCACACTGAAGATCCTTACACATCATTAAATTACTTATCATTCTCTATCATGAATCCTACCACAATGATATAAATATTTTTATTTGTTGGTATAACGTTTTACTAATTCCAAATAGATTCTTAGCATTTTCTTTTTAATGTCTATGTAAACTTTATCATTTTAATGTATATATTAGGATCCAAACTTTTACTGGATTTTCATAGGCCATTATACCACTTAAAAATTTTTTTTGGCTTGTTTTATTAAGAAATAAATACTAAAGACATGAAGAGTTGGAAAAGGAAAAAGTAATTGCAGTTTGTGCCTTTACTACTATTAATATGGTGACATTCATTAATATACAGCATGCAAAATTATTTTCTTGATTGCCTTCTCTTTAGGACATCATGCATGAAATCTCCTAATCATGTTAAAAACCTAGGCCAGGCACTCGTAATGTGATTGCAATTGCTTTTTCTTTTTCCTTTTGAGAATAAAGGTTAAACAGTTGGGAGATCTTCTACTTGTATGCTAGCCTAGTTTATGCGGTTTCACATTTTCATCATTTTATTGTTACTGTTCCTATCATCCTTTTTCATCATTTCTCTGAAAATATTATTTAGAATAATACAAATGCTAACATTTTCATTATTTCTAGAAAAAGTTCTTCACTATAAAAAAGGCATTGGAAGCTAAGGGTGAGAATACATACAGTAAAGAAACATCTTTGATTTTTTTGGTAGAAGAATACTTTATTGAGATATTTATTTGCCTTTGTTCTTCTTGTATTTTTTCTTCTCCCTATTTCAAGCAGGTAATTTATCTTAGTGCGCTTCGTTATGTGGAAGTTCTGCAGAGTGTAGCTTGAAAGCTGAAACTGCATATTCTTCTTCAGCCCTTCCTCCCTTTGTCTCTCCTTTTCTCTGTCACCTCTTTCAATCCTAAAATAATTGAAGACATCATGTTGAGTGTCCTAATGAGCAAGGATTGGAGGGGAGGGACTGAATGCAGAAAAAGGAAATGGGGAAGATTTTCCTTGGTGTAACAAGGATAAGATTTTGTTACCCTTTAATCCCTCAACTTGTCAGCTTCCATGCCGTTATTTTGGTTCATAAAGACATTTAGACTAGCATTTAATATCTCTAGCATTCATTCGAAATTTTAAGATCCTTGCATGAAAACACTCTATCATATAGTTTGGATCTTCGCCATATTGATCAGCACTGTTCAATAGAGTTTTCTGTAGTAATGGAAATATTCTACACCTGTGCTCTCCAATATGGTAGCTACTCACCACAAGTTGTTATTGAACACTCAGAATGTGGCTATTTTAAATGACAAACTAATTTTTAAATTTTATTTAATTTTATTAACTTAAATGTAAATAGCCCATAGACCAACGGCCACCATCTTGGACAGTACAGATATAGACTAATGTTTCATATGTGATACCCTCTTAATAAGTGATCAGCAATAGTGAGGGAAACTCACTCCCATTTTTATAATTAAATACATTATTTTATTCATATTTTTATCATATGGCATTAGTAGTGGTGCCTGCTAAAGCAGTTTTACATTTTATTTAAATTTGTAAGTGAACTGAAACTCATATATCTGGGTTTTCCCTTATCTCACCCCCCATTATCGAAAAGAATAAAACAAACAAAAAACCACACAAATGTATTATCCTGAAATTTTCTTTCAGAACAAAAAGTATACTTAGAATAAATTATTTACTATTCACAATATTTATTATACCTATTTGAAAAAAATTATAAAATGCTGGTCTACATTTTGCACATAAAGTAAAACCGTGTATAGTAAGCAAAAGTTTTGAGTTGCAGTATTATATTATGTCAATGCATTTCATTTGCATATAATTAATTACTGTTTTATACCTTTAACATTTGGGCCTAAAGGTCTTACTAATTAAAATAAATTCTTTTAAATTTGAAACTAAGTAATAAACAATTTAATAAAAGTCACAAATTTTTCTTCATGTTATTAAGGTTAATTGTAAAATTAATTATATTCATTTGTAACTGATATAAAAAATATACACACTTTTAGGGTTGACATAAATTTTGAATAGTCATATACATAGTAAATATATCATACAACTTTAAAAATATTTCAGTATATATAATTTTTAAAGTTTTAAAAATTCAATTTGGCAATAGTGTTCACATTATAGATCTAATTATACAATTTATCTTAGTTTTTAATTTTTCTTTTCTTAATATTATGTTTTTGGAAAATATGCTGCATAAATGACAGGTATGGAGAAATCCAAACCTGACTGCAAAATGATCTTTCTAATTATAGTCAATAACAAAGTCCTTTTCAGATAGATATATAGTCTATGTTCACTAATAAAATTGTTTATTAGCATATTTTAGACTCAAAAATTATATTTGAATGTCAATTAAATTATATCTCAATGAAGACATATACTTCTTTTCTGCCTCTGATTTTTTTTCCTAGAACGAGAACTTGGCCAACGTTATCCTAGTCTTTTGGAGTTACTTCTGTACCTAAAAGAATAATTATTCATTGATGATAGGTAAAGCGGGCAGAAAAACAAGACTTGTGCTCTCCTCACCTCTTCTTTTCTTTCACAGTTGCCCGATTGCAGGGTACTCTCTCCTCCACAAAACTGTCCACTCTTTAGGATCTTTCCCTTTCTCATCATTTGCTGGAATTGGGCAGATAAGTCTGCTTATTTAAGGCGTACAGTAATGTATTGGTTTTCTATTGCTTCTGTAACAAATTACTACAAACAATGGTAGCTTAAAACAAAAAATATATATATTTTCAGTTTCAGAAATCTGTGTTGGTTTGGCTGGTTTCTGTTCTGCAGATTGTTCAATGCCAAAATTACAGATTTAGGCTCTTATCTGTAATGAATCTACTTATAAACCGGTAATTTGTAGAATCCCAATTTCTTGTAGTTGTAGGTCTGAAACATCTGTTTCTTTGCTGGCTGTCAGTCAAGGACAGTCTTTGCTCCTAGAGGTGTCCACATTCCTTCTCATGTGTTCTGGAACCCATCAGTGGGCCAGTTCTCTCTTAAGCTTTCAGTAAATCCAACTATTTATTCTGCTGCATCTTTCATACCCCTACTGGAGAAAGCCCTCTGCTTCCATGAACTCATGTGATTAGATAGGTTTGATATGGACAATTCAGAATAATCTTTAGGATGTGCAATGTTAATCACACCTACAATGTCCCTTTTGTCGTATAATGCAACATATTCACAAGTTCTGGGAATTGGGGTGAGTATATTTTGGGGGGCATTTTCTGCTTACCACAAGTATTATTAGGCCCTCTCAGCCAACATGGTTAAAGCTACATTCCCTCAAACTGCACTCCATAGCAAGAAAGGTAATATTTTGGCTTCACGTTAATTCTTTCATCTTAACTTTTCGAGAACTTGAGAGGAAAAGAAGGATCCTGTTTTGTTGGGAACACTCAGAGATTCTAACATTTTCACTGGAATTTTATTGTAGAAATTCTTTAGAGGGGAAAAAAGGTTTTGGTTATCAGCAGATACAACAGAAAATGTCTCAGTAATAAACAAGAGAAGGAGAAAAGTCCTTGAAGGTCCATTGATACATGGGGGCAATCAACTTAGAAAAAGTGAAGTGCTGTGAACTAGATACCAGAGATTATTTGGGAGGAAAAACCTGAAATAGTCTTTGTCAAGTAAGGTTCTATTCCGTATGTCCATTTCATGAACATTTTATTGTGCTCATATTGTGCTCATTCTTTCTCTTTGTTGTCTTTAAATCCTCCTTCTTCCTTCCTGAGAAAGAAAGTTCTCAGAGAAATCTGAAGTCAGAGAGCATTTTATTATACTGGAACAGATAATGATAAAGTCTTGGAAGCTAAGAAGCCATAGAAATTTATTTGAGGCACTTTTCCTTCCTTTTCCTGATGATTATTTCATTATTTTTCTGACTTTCTTAATTTCTTAAAATGTATAGCTAAACCATGAGATATAACTGAAGATAATTCACATGTATAATGCATGGGAATAACCAACAAGAAGGAGAATCTGATTCTGGATATAGGAGTATATATGTACGGGTACAATACATATTTCCCTATGAAATATGTGTATCACCTGAAAGTAAGACAAGTTGGGAGATTTCTCCCATTAAAGGAGAAATTATTCTGTTCTTAGGATTTCTCAGAAAGAATTCACATTCACAATTGTACAAAGGTGGAAGCATATTCTGAAAAAAACACATATTATAGAATGCACTTACATTTGCAAAACGGAGGTCAATCATTTCATCATTTTGGGTATAGTCAGCAGGTACAGAAATAGTTAACAAAGAGATAAATTCTGTGAATAGAGCTAAGGTCAAATACACATTCTGTGCACAAATATTCTCTATAGAGCTCTTGTCATTCATGAATGAGTAAACATTAAGACAAATAGATCTTTCAAACAATACTGAAGAACAAGAAAAATAAACAGTGAGAAAGGAACACCAACCTAATTAATATTCACAAAAACAAAAAAAACCATTGACACTTATTAGTCAAAAGATGAAAAGAAACTTTTAGAAAATACATGTTTGACATTCATCAGATGATCATATAATTTATCATATCAAGTGGGATACCTTTGAGAATAAAAAGGGGTACTATTAATATTTACACTAGGACAATAGCAAGAAACCAGGATTTACTGCATAAATCAAGACGTATGGTCACCCTACCAATATTATTTAAGAATATTTATGTAACATGAACAGAAAAGAAATGACAGAATAAGAAATGGAAAATAATGAAGACAAAAAGTTATGACATTTTTAAATTGTGGAAAAAGATAATATAGAATTGCAAAACAACAACAACTAACCAAAAAATATTAGTGGTAACTGTAGAAGTGAAATCTCTGTACAACAGGTTGAAAGCAAAAGTGACATTGATAAAAACTGAATCAGTGTTACAGAGTAAAGATCTGAATAACATTCTCAGGATGCAAACCAAAGGGATCAGGCAAGGAATATGAATGTACGATATCGGAGAAATATGGAGAAGTGATAATGAAGATTATACCTTAGAATTACAGGCATTCATGAAGAAGAAAAAGGAATGATTTTGATAAAAATGTTAATCAAAAGAAAACTTTCTGCAGAAAAAAAACATATCTTAGTACGCAAAATAAAAGGGCTTCTTTGGGGTGCAAAGGAAATTATGAAAAAGAGATTCACAGCCATTTTAGTTCTTTCATTCTTTAATTATTAAATGGATGTGAAAAGTATTATATAAATTTTAAATGGAATTTTAAAACTAAAACACAAAACAAATTAAAAATATGAAACAAACTTACCTAATAAGTAAAAATACTAAGCTGGCCTCCAACATCTGACCAACACTGACAAACAGATAAGAATGAAGATGAATGAAGAATGATTTTGAAAGGAAAAGTTTTATCTAAACATTTATAAAAGGATACATTTTTATTCAAAGACTTAGAAAATATAGTTTCATATGACTCTTTTAAAATGTCACTTTAACGTATGGTCTTCTCTCTTCTAATGAATAAAAATTCATGGCTAAAGAGAGGAAATTATATATTCATTATGTGCAAAACACTGTGACATAAGCAAAAATGAAGATGATAAAATGGCTTCCCAGGGGTTTTATGCTCTATTGGGAGAAGCTATATGTAATCAATTAAGCTTCATAATAGAGATGCAGGTAACATAATTGTTTGACGTAGAACGCGGCAATGCTTAGTCTCTACTATAGGAGGTAGGAATTTCTCTACTGAGTGGCATTTATGCTGGACCTTAAAAACCATTTGCAAATTTTAAATGGAGGTTATTCTGAGAAAAGAATATCTGAGGATAATGTCTGAAAAGTTTTAAGAGGCTTAGGGAAAACAGTAGGATTTAAAATATAGCAAAGAGCAAATTGTTGTTTAAAAGAATGTAGAGTCAGATTACAGAGGCTTTGAATGCCACACTTTTTTTTGTAAGCGATAGGGAACCATTAAGAGATCACTGAAGAGGAGTCTCATGTTGTTATTCATGACTTTGGAAGAGGAATCTGATGAAACTGTTAATGATATATTTGAGAATGTAGCTGCTAGAAAACTGGAGATCAGTTAGCAATTTGTAGATTTCTATAGAAGAGATTATAAAAACCTGAACTCAGGTGTTTTTAATGAAAAAAAAAGATAAATTGAAGCACTGTTCCAGTGGCAGAATTAATGAGTTGGAGACTGATTGGTTGTGGAAATGTGGGAGATGAATGACTGTGACATTTTCCTTGGTAGCATGTTGTCAGTCAACAAAATAAATAGGTAACACTTATGCAGGCACAATTATAAGAACTTTATGAATATCATCTCACATAATCTTCACAGGAACTAATGATAAAGTTGTTAGTCTTTGAACCTGGGCAGTTTGACTCCAGAGTCTATATTCTTCACCAGTCATTCAACAGATCGTCATTTGAAAGAATTTTAAATGACCATGCTCATTTAAAATCAAAGCAATAGCCACAGGGATATGTGAATCATATGTACCTCAGAATTCGTTAGAGATGTCATAGCTTATGGTGTGATGTGGGTGAAATTAGTATAGGCAGGGTGTTTGGAATTATGTAACTAGATAATGCTATTTACCACACATCATTTAGGCAGATAGTGAATACAGAATAAAAATCATGTAAATATCTTCAGTTAATTTTTGAATCACCTTAAGATAAGGATGATAATTTTAAATTGCTTTTGAATTTTCCTTCTTTGAAAAATATTATTTGCAGAACAGATAATAAATTGTGGTTTAGAGGAAATTCTTCTTGTGAAAGAAGAATTTCGAGCCTTACTACCGAGGATTTCTTCAAAGATATGTAAAGAAATTACTTAGATTTTATATATAAACAATATCCTACTTATCTTTCTGTCAACCTCATCTAAAAGTTCTATGTCATAATAGTTTATAGAATATAACCTATCTGCTACATAAGAATGCTTACATATATATAAGCATATATATGTAAGCTTATATATGCTTACATATATAAGAATATTCTTATATATGTAAGAATATATACATATATAGAGACAGGTATTTTTACCTAGTCTTATTATCACACATGCTTTTATTATTGCTTATAATTTATGATTTAGAAAATCATACTCATTAAGTTAATATTAATATTAATATTCACTAAAAGATACTTACATTATTTGCACTCCTAGTGAACATGGAGTGAGGTGGAGGTAACTGAGTAAGGAGCCAAAAAAAAAAAAGCACTAGGTTCTTGGTTACTGGTTGCTTTTGAGAACCATGCCTACAAAGCTTTGGCCATAATGATGGGCGTGATTGTGGGTGGTGAACAGGGGAAAGGGAACCGCTATCATAAGCTTTTTATTTTTTCCTTTACGACACTCCCTGCTTTTAAATCCACCCTCCAGTGTTTTTATTTCATTTAATATGAATTAAAGTACAACTTTAACATGCTGTGATACCAATTTGCTTGATCCTTAAGTTAAAAAGGAAGATTGAAGAGATTTTGAATTTTAAATGATGACTGTCATATTTTGTATGCACTGATGATTTCTCCATGTCATCCATTTTTTTCTGAGATTCTGAGTAGAGAGAATATGTCATGCAAAAGATAAAAGAGAAATGTTTACATAAAAAATAATAAAGTGCATTTTAAGGCCCTTCAAATTTTTCTTTGTTGATAAAACACATGATATTTTAGCAGTACAAAGTATAAGAGCAATATTAAATGGAGAAAGTAAATAACTACCTGAATCCAACATGAAGAAAAATTCGTTCAAATTTGATGTTATCAGAAAATCTGATTTTAGTGGAGCTCTTACTTAATAATAAACTGTAAGGAAAGACTCTCATCATTTATATTCACTGATAAAATATATTTAGAAATATCATGTACTGCTGGAGAATTGGAATGCTAGTCTGGGTAGTATTTCTTTTTTAATTTTTAATTTCTGTGGTTACATAGTAGATGTATGTATTTATGGAGTATATGGAATATTTTCATAGAGGCATACAATATGTAATAATCACATCAGGATCAATGAAGTATCCGTCACCTTAAGCATTTGTCCTTTGTGTGACAAACAAGCCAATTATATTCTTTTGCTTATTTTAAAATGTAGTTATTGTTGACTATAGTCACCCTATCGTGCTTCAAATACTTGATCTTATTTATTCTTTCTATGTTTTTTTTTTTTTTTTACCCATTAATCATTCTTATCACCCCCTAAGTCCCTACTACCCTTTCTAGCTCCTGGTAACAATCCTTCTACTCTCTATTCCCATGAATTCAATTATTTTAATTTTTAGTGTCCACAGATGATGTTTAGCATCCACATGTGATGTTTGTCTTTCTGTATCTGGCTTATTTCACTTAACATGATGACTTCCAGTTTCATCCATGTTGTTGCTAATGACAAGATATAATGTTTTATTGCTGAATAGTACCCCATTGTGTATATGTGCCACCTTTTCTTTATCCATCCATCTATTGATGGACACTTAGGTTGCTTCCAAATCTTCGCTATTGTGAATAGTGCTGCAATAAACATGAGAGTGCAGACGTGTATTTGATATCCTGATTTCCTTTCTCTTGGGTATATACATAGTAGTAGGATTGCTGGATCAAATGGTAGCTCTATTTTTAGTTTTTTGAGGAACCTCCAAGCTGTTCTCTATAATGATTGTACTAATTTATATTCCCACTGACAGTGTACAAGGGTTCCCTTTTCTCCACATCCTCACCAACATTTGTTATTATCTGTCTTTTGGATAAAAGCCATTTTCACTGCAGTGAGGTGATATCTCATTGTAGTTTTGATTTACATTTCTCTACTGATTAATGATGTCGAGCACTTTTTCATATACCTGTTTGCTAGGCAGCACTTTCTCCTCTAAATTTGTGCTACCAATTATATTCATTTGTAATTATATTTTTCTCATTTTATTTAAGTTAACTTTAATTACTGGCTATGTTAGAAAGACACTATGTGTTGGGCTAGATAAGGATTTTACTGTTATTTTCTGCTGAAAAGACATTTGTGTGGAAGTAGCAGGTTTACCACAGTGAATGAGATACTGCATTTTAGATAGAACCTATCTAAAGCAAACATCTCTCTGATAGCTGAAGCCTCTTAGAGAAAGGTGTCAGAAAATGAGCAGATAATTTTCTTCTCAAAGTAAAATTTGATGATAAATACCCTTGTACTGCAGTTACTGAGGCTAAAATAGCCTCAAACCTTAAAAGTAGTCAGTCATCATATCCACAGATTCCTCATTTGCAGATTCAACCAACCACAAATAGAAAATATCTGAAAAAAAGACAAAAATAAAAATAAGAATATAAATCAATATAATATAACAACTATTTACATTACATTAGCTATTATATGTAATCCAGAGATAATTAAAGTATATGGGAGGTTTGCATAGGTTATATGCGAATACTATGCCATTTCACGTAAGAGACTTTAGCATCTGCTGATTTTGGTATCAATGAGGGTCCTGGAACCAATTCCCCAAAGATACTGAGGAATGACTATATCAAATTGAGTAACAGTTGCACAGCAAAAAATAAAATAGTTCTGCAGTACAGTTGTTAATTAAAAGATAAACTAAACTGACTTTATAAGTTGCTATGAAAATAATTTGATTTACTATTTTCCAACACTACCTAGTTTCTTTTGTTTATAACTGACTCCTTTGACCTTTGGCAACTGGTATCCTGTTGCCACAAGACCTTATCATCACTGTTAAGTGTGAACCAATAAAGACTCAAAATTTAAACCTTCAGTTGGAGTTTACATGTTTAATAGTAATTTTTTAAGAACAAGTATCTTTTTATGGTCCAAAAAAATCTATCATGTTGGAATTCAGATCTTATGAAAGAAGAGGGAGAGATGAAGTCCTGTATAGGTCTCTGACCCTGCATTTGTGTATTTTTAAAGAAAACAGTTTCATACAAACAACAACTTTAATGATCAGATAGCAGGTTAATATACTCTTATGAATTAACATTATTATGTTACAGAATAAAATTTTTTGAGTTGAGTTTTATCTTTTCTTTCTCCTGCTATTAACTCTGCACTTTTTCCTGTAAATTACAGTGGGTGACTATATGAACAGAGGTATTCACACATAAAGTATAATTGTAGTTATTAAATAATGAATTGCCCTTGTATACCTTCCTAAGTCATTTTAAATGGCAAAATATTTTCTTAGAACTTTAAAATCCCGAGGAAGAATTTAAAAATAAAGCAACATGTACTAGATTTATATTATAATAAAAAGTGCAAAGATTATTTTACATACGTACAGGAAATCAAATTTGGCACTTAATTAAAACATCTTAAGATTTATTAAAAGTGGAACTTCTCCTTTCAGCTAAGATGAAGTGATAGGGACTAAATTTAGCCTCCTATTAAAACAAATGAACATCAACAACGACAAAAAGCTAATGAAGTGATCCCTATGATACTATAGTTTGCAGCCTTGAGAGAATTTTGAGCGTTCAATAGAAGAAGGGAGAATCCAATCAGAGCCTAGTGGACACCATGAGTTGAGAAGACAGAGTTTAGTGTCCAAGGACACCAAAGCGGCTACGGTCCACAAAACAGAGTACTGCAAAGCAGAGTGTTGCACAAAGCTACAACTCTGGAGATGGACAAATGGACCCTTTGGATAGTTCAGTTAAGTACTGATCAGTATTGATATGTATGTGAGCAAACTACTCAAGGATAGAGAGAAAATCCAAAAGGTTTAGTGGTAACATGCTTCTAATAAGGCCGAAAATAAAATTTCAGACAGACTGAACGTAGGCATTGAGCAGAGTACACAGAACTGTCTTATAGTAGTCTTATAGAATAATGAGCTCTAGTCCAGTACTGTTCTAGTTCTATGTAACAAATATTAAGTTAGATCCCATCCCCACACACAAATCAAATTGTACCTAAGTAATTTAACCACAGCCCAAAACATCTCAAGAATATTTATAGGGAAACAGAAATACTCTGCAGCTAGGAAGTTAAAATTTACCATGTCTGACATTCAATCAAAAATTGCCAAGCATACAAAGTAGCAAAAGTTGCCAAGCATTCTCACCATAATGAGAAGAAAATTTAATCAATTGAAACTGACTTAGAACTGACACAAAATCAACCTTAGCAGCCAAGGCTATTAAAACAATTTTGACTGTGTTCCCCATGTTCATAAAGTTAGAAAGAGGTATGAAAATATATTTAAAAGATAGCAGTAATTAATGGAAGATTTGTAGCAATAAACATCTGTATTAGAAAAGATGAACAATTTCAAATGAAAGTCCTCACTGTCTACCTTGAGAAAATAGATATAGAACAAATTAAACCCAAAGGAAATGGAAAAAAGACAATAATAAAGATCAGGGTAAAAATAGATAAAACAAAAAACAATACAGATCAGTGAAATCAAAAGGTAGTTACATGAAAAGGTCAAATTTATTAACTTTTAGCCAGAATAATCAGGAAAAAATTCAAGAATACCTAAATTAATATTATAGACAAAACACACTATATATTTTAGTGCTTCAAATTTATGGATGTAAATAGAGAATAAAATATGTTTACCAACTAAATGAGCTACAATAATTGTTTAGAATGACACTAGAAATAAGCAGTAATATGGAAATGTGTACTATAGCTAAGAATAAAGAATTAAAGAAGCCAAAACAAAAAACAAACAAACGAAAAACCCCAAACTTGTGCCTGAGGCACTAGCTGTCAATAGAATTTTTAAAATCAGTGTTAAGTGATTCTACTCCAAGAGTACTGTTTTTTAAAAAAATTACATAAGAGAATGACTTTTACAGTTAATTAGCTTCCCTAGTAGCTAATTAACTATAAAAGGAAATAGTTGAATTAGTAGCTAATTAACTAAAAAAGGTAGAAAGAAACAATCTATAGGAGAACAAAAGTAAGAGCTACACTATGACTAATTATCTCCCAAAAGCCACATTATAGGCAAGAAGACAAGGAGTAATATATTGATAGCACTGGAGAAAACAGAATTCTATACCCAGATAAATCTCTCACTTGGGTTTAAGGCATAATAAATATGATTTTACACAAAAAAATGAATAGAATGGCACCACACAAAGACCTTCACTCAAAGTACTACATGAGGCTGTTCTTAGTGACAAATGAAACTGAATCCAAAATGTCACAGTGTGATGCAAAATACAATTGTGTAAGCATGAACAACACTAAACTTAAAATGACAAAAGTAAAAATGGTAAGTATTGGGTTTGGAATGGGAATTGATATAGACTCAGTGTCATTTATTATCTACCTATGGCTGCTGTAACAAGTTACTAAAATCTTAGTAGCTTAAACAACATAAATTTATTATAATTCAGGAGGTCAGATTTTTTAAATTACTATTAAGTATGATAATTGCTGTAGGTTTTACACATGAGGGGATTTCAAAAAGTTTGTGGAAAAATGGAATTAAAAGATAAAATTAAAAACTAAATTTTATTTCTCAGCATAATCTCCATCAGGCTCAAGATACTTTTGTAAGTAATTATAACAGCCATTTAGTCTATTCTTAAAGAACTAAGGGCCTGCGAATTTAACCAAGTAAATGCAGGGTTTTTTTTTGTTTTTTTTTTTTTTACATTATTAGCTGAAGAAAATTGGGTGCTCTTTAAAGATTCTTTTTAAGGTCAGCAAACAAAAACAAGTTAGAGAGAAACAAATCAGGGGTATAAGGTGAATGCCTAACAATTTCCTATCAAAATTCTCACAAAATCACCTTTGTTTGATGAGAGAAATGAGCAGGAGCATTGTTACGGTGGAGAAGGACCTGCTGGTGAAGCTTCCTGGCCATTCTTCTGCTAAAGCTTTAGCTAACTTTCTTACAACACTTCATAATAAGCAGATGTTCTTATTCTTTAAGAACATCAAACTCAACAAGCAAAATGTTCTGAGCTTCCCAATAAACTGTTGCCATGACCTTTGCCTGATCCACGTTTGCTTTGACTGGAACACTTCCCTTTCTTGGTAGCCATTGCTTTCATTGTGCTTTGTCTTCAGGATGGTACTGACAAAGCCATGTTTCATCTGTTACAATTATTTGAAGAAATGCTTCAGGATATTGATGCCACTTGTTTAAAATTTCCATTAAAAGTTCTGCTCTTGTCTGCAGCTGATCTGGGTACAATGGTTTGGGCATCCTTCCAGTGGAATTTTGCTCAACTTTAATTTTTCAGTCAGAATTATGTAAACTGAACCAATCAAGATGTCTACAGTGTTAGCTAATGGTTCTGCTGCAAATTTTCAGGCTTCTTCAATTAGGGCATGAACAAGATTATTTTTTTCCTCACAAATTGATCAGAATGATCTGCTGCTGTGAGCTTCATAAACCCAATTAGATATGAAATGGGAAATATGACAACTGACAACACAGAGATACATAAGATCATTCAAGGCTACTATGAACACCTTTGTGTGCATAAACTAGAAAACCTAGAAGAGATGGATAAATTTGTGGAAAGATACAACCTTTCTAGCTTAAATTAGGAATAATTAGATACCCTGAACAGAGCAATAACAAGCAGCAAGATTGAAATGGTAATTAAAATATTACCAATGAAAAAAATGTCCAGGACCAGACAGATTCCCAGCAGAGTTCTACCAGACTTTGAAAAAAGAATTGGTACCCATCCGATTGACACTATTGCACAAGATAGAGAAACTGGAAACCCTTCCTAAATCATTCTATGAAGCCAATATCACCCTAAGACCAAAACCAGGAGAGGACATAACCAAAAAAGAAAACTACAGACCAATATCCCTGATGAACAAGATGCTGAAATCCTTAACAAAATACTAGCTAACCGAATCCAACAACCTATCAAAAAGATAATCCACCATGATCCAGTGGGTTTCATACCAGGAATGCAGGGATGGTTTAACATAAACAAGTCAACAAATGTGATACACCACATAAACAGAATCAAAAACAAAAATCACGTGATCATCTCAATAGATGCAGAAAAAGCATTTGACAAAATCCAGCATCACTTTATAATTAAAACCCTCAGCAAAATTGGCATTCAAGGGACATGCCTCAATGTAATAAAAAGCCATCTATGACAAACCCACAGCCAAGATAATACTGAATGGGGAAAAGTTGAAAGCATTCCCTCTGAGAATTGGAACAAGACAAGGTTGTCCACTCTCACCACTGTTCTTCATCATAGTACTGGAAATCCTAGCTAGAGGAATCAGACAAGAGAAAGAAATAAAGGGCATCCAAGTTGGTAAAGAGTAAGTCAAACTGTCACCATTTGCTGATGATATGATTGTTTACTGAGAAAACCCTAAATACTCTCCAGAAAGCTCCCAGAACTGATAAAATAATTTAGCAAAGTTTCCAGATACAAGATTAATGTACACAAATCAGTAGCTCTTCTATACAAAAACAGTGACCAAGCTGAGAATCCAATAAAGAACTCAACCCCTTTTACAATAGCTGCAAAAAATAAAAAATAGAATACTTAGGAATATACCTAACCAAGGAGGTGAAAGACCTCTACAATGAAAACAACAAAACACTGGTGAAAGAAATCATAGATGACACAAAAAAATAGAAACACATCACATGCTCATGGATGGGTAGACTCAATATTGTGAAAATGACTATACTGCCAAAAGCAATCTACAAATTTGACGCAATTCCCATTAAAATATTGCCACCAACATTCTTCACAGAACTAGAAAAAACAATCCTAAAATTCATATGGAACCAAAAAAGAGCCCGCATAGCCAAAGCAAGACTCAGCAAGAAGAACAAATCTGGAGGCATCACATTACCTGATTCTGAACTCTAATATAAGGCCACAGTCATCAAAACAGCATGATACTGGTATAAAAACAGGCACATAGACCAATGGAACAGAATCCAGAATCAAGATGTAAAACCAAATACTTATAGCCAACTGATCTTCGACAAAGCAAACAAAAACATAAAATGGAAAAAAGACACTCTATTCAACAAATGGTGCTGGGTTAATTGGCAAGCCACATGTAGGAGAATGAAACTGGATCCTCATCTCTCACCTTATACAAAAATCAACTCAAGATGGATCAAGGACTTAAATCTAAGACCTGAAACTACAAAACTTCTAGAAGAAAACACTGGAAAACCCCTTCTAGACATTGGCTTAGGCAAGGACTTAATGACCAAGAACCCAAAAGCAAATGCAACAAAAACAAAGAAACATAGCTGGGACTTAATTAAACTAGAGTTTTGCATGGCAAAAGGAACAGTAAGCAGAGTAAACAGACAACCCACAGAGTGGGAGAAAATTTTCACAATCTATACATCTGACAAAGGACTAATATCCAGAATCTACAATGAACTCATACAAATTAGCAAGAGAAAACAAACAATCCCATCAAAAAGTGAGCTAAGGCCATGAATAGACAATTCTCAAAAGAAGATATATAAATGGCCTACAAACATATGAAAAAATGCTCAACATCACTTATGATCAGGGAAATGCAAATAAAAACCACAATGTGATACTACTTTACTCCTGCAAGAATGGCCATAATCAGAAAATACTAATAATAAAAAAAAAACAGATGTTGGTGTGGATGTGATGAACAGGGAACACTTCTACACTGCTCGTGGGAATGTAAACTAGTACAACCACTATGGAAAACAGTGTGGAGATTACTTAAAGAATTAAAAATAGAACTATCATTTGATCCAGCAGTCCCACTACTGGGTATCTACCCAGAGGAAAAGAAGTTATTATATGAAACAGATACTTTCACACACATGTTTATAGCAGCACATTTAGCAGTTTCAAAAATGTGGAACCAACCCAAATGCCCATCATTCCACTAGTGGATAAAGAAGTTGTGGTAAATACATATGATACAATAATACTCAGCCATAAAGAGGAATGATTTGCAGCAGTCTGGCTGAGATTGGAGACTATTATTCTAAGTGAAGTAACTCAGGAATGGAAAACCAAATATCGTGTTCTCACTCATAAGTGGAAGCTAAGCCATGAGGATGCAAAGGCATAAGGATGATACAATGGACTTTGGGACTTGGGGAAAGGGTGGGAAGCGGGTGAGAGATAAAAGACTACAAATTGGGTGCAGTGTGTACTGCTCTGGTGATGGGAGTACCAAAATCTCACAAATCACCACTAAACAACTTATTCATGTAATGAAACCCCACCTGTTCACTAATAACCTATGGAAAAACATATTATGGAAATGATATCTCAAAGACATCAGCAGTTTTCAAATGGATAACTTGTTTTAAGAAGGGACTGCAGGTCAGATATTTGAAATGGGTGTTACTGGGATGACATCATCAGTAGGGCTTGCATCTGCAGGCTCTAAGGAATAATTTACTTCCTTTCTTCTTCTAGAGGTGGCCTACATTTCTTGACTCCTGCTCTTCTTCCAGCAATCCCATCACTCCCATCTCTGTTTCATCATTACAACTCATCTCACTCTCCTGCCATCCTCTCTCACTTGTAAGAATCTTTGTGATTACATTGGGCTCACTCAGACAATCCAGGATTATCTCATCTTCTCAAGATCCCTAATAACATCTACAAAGGGCTGTTGGCCATGTAAGCTAACATATTCACAGGTTCTGGGAATTAGAATATATGAACATCTTTGGGAGAAGAGGGGCTTATTCTACTTATTGCAAGAAGCATTAAAATCCAAATTACACAAGTAAAATGCGTGGGTGGATCTGATCTCAAATATCTTGAAATGCTTGCTTGTATTCTTGGAGGAGAGATTAGAGATAATAATTAGCTTTAAGCATTGGTAAATCAAGTATCTAGGCATGGTAAAAATGCAATGTATGTCATGAAAATCAGTGACTTGAATAAAGAGATTTTTAAAAATTGATTAATCAGGTAAAAGAGGAAAGAAATAACAAAAAAAGAGTCAAGAATATCATAGAAAATAATATAAAAATGATACATTCAAAAATATCAGTAATACAAATTAAAAGAACAAAATTATCATTATGTTACATGAACAGATACAAACAAAATTAAAAACAAGTAAAATAAATTTTTGGTAAAAGATACAGTATATAAGTTCTAAATAAGAAAAAGGAAAGGTGTAGGTAAATCAGTGGTTTTAAACCAGTTTTAATTTTGTATCCTGTAAGTTTTGGCAATGTCTGGAGATATATTTGATTGTCACAAATCGAAAGGAAGGTGTTCTAGTTATTGTAGCTTTATAAAAACCTTGAAAGCTGGTAGTATTAAGTACTTCAATTTTCTTCTACTTGTCCAAAATTATTTTGGCTAAACAAACAACTAAAAATTCTTTTAACCAACAACTGTAAGACAGTTCACACAGAAAGTTCACATGAAGTATTCACAAATACTGACCATATTCTGGGTCTTAAAGCAGTTCCTTTTAATAAATTAAATGGAAATCATACAGAGTACCTTCTCTTACCAAAACAGAAGAAATACAGAAAACAATAACTGAAAGTTCATGAAAAGTGTTCAGATATTTGAAAATTAGACAACCATCTTCTAATTAACCCATTAATACAAGCAAGGAAATTAGAAAATATTTTAAAGTAAATAAAAATAAAAACACAACATATCAAAATTTGTGCATTGCACCTAAGCAGTGCTTAGAGGAAAATTATAAGCTTTAAATGCTTATCACTTTATCACAAAACTTCCAATAAACTTTCCTTCACATAACTGCCTTGGGAGATTGACCCTGTGGGAGAAATCTGGGAAAGGAATCTGAAAAAATTCAGAGAAAGAGAAGAAAAGTTGCAAGAAAGACCAGACATTAATCAGATGTAGGAAAGAGGAGAAAAAAGCTACTAGGAGTTATGCATGAAATTTTACCACCAACAATCCCATTTCTTATACCTTTTCCCTTATTAACCATGACTGTTTCAATTGCAAATATAAAACACAGATTAACTTAAAGCAAAACATGGATTTGGTAGTTTATGCAAGCCAAAAAGAAAAATACTACAGCTCTTTGTTCCTACAAAATTCTGTTCTTTTATTAGTTGTAGCACATTTACCTATTTTTCTGCCAGTCTTGCAGTGGCAAAAATGCTCTAAATAAACCTAATGCAATTATATCTCTTGTTCTATGAGTGAACAAACCAGTTTACTCATAGAACAACAACAGCAACAACAAAAAGAAACCAAAACCAAAACCAGTGTTAAATTCATCTACTGCATTCATTTCCAAGTCCAGGTTTTCTCATGGATTTCAAACTTAATTGTTTTGGGGTGTGACTCTTCTTAATGTCCCAACATAGGATCTAAATAGTCATTCTCTAGTTATGACCCTGTTTATAATGGTGAAAGGCAAACAAGATAGCCATTATAAAAATTCCCACTTTGAAAATAAGAAAAGGAAACAGAACACACTGTGATCTCTTATCTACATACTATATTTCCTGGATATTAAGAATACATTTCTTCAGAGCTTGAGTAAGTTTCTTTTCTGCTGATGTGACTAAACCATATTTTCATACTTTAAGCACTGGGTACATTGCCTGCCTATTTGCCTCCATCCCTGGTGCTGAGAGAAGGGAGGGATCCCTTATGGGGAGCTGGACCAGTTTAGCCATCCGTTTTCTGTTGTAATTACGGGGATCTTGGTATCGACTTCGAAATTGAGCAGTAGATAGGTTCCTATTTATAAGCTTTGGATTTATCTGGAAAGCAAACCAAACCTTTTAAAGTAATGCTTGTTAGTTGCTGTTTAACTCTTCCTAAGTGACAGTGAGGAAGTAAAAAGAAAAAAGTTTGAAATTAAGTCAAATTGTAGCAATATTCAAGTTAGACTTGAATATTGAAGATTTTGTCTCTTCCTCCCTCCTTAAATCACTTACTAATGGCATTTCTCTAGACTTTGTATTGAAACAAAAGGAAATAATAGGCTGTTCTGGTAAACACAGATGATCTGTCCACAAGCACCCAGACTTCATTCCTCACAATTCTAAGGAAAATCTATCCTTGAAAAAATGCCTGGGAGGGATCAGGGAATTCAGAATCTACTTTTCTTACTCTTAGCTCCTCATTCATTGCCCATTCCCATTATATAATGTGATTTTGTGATTCATTGCCCATTCTCATTATAAAGTGTTATTTAATGTGATTTTGAAATTTGGGCCATTTGCAATTTGGCAGGGTGCCTGTTTGATTCTGTATGGTCCTGGGTTATTTGCCATAGGCAGATTATTCATCTTATATTTCCTTTCTAAGAGACTAATGATAGAATCCTATCTCATTGAAGTCTGCAAAAAGTAACCCAAAATATTTCAAAAGTTGGACAGTTTTCCTCCAAAACTGCAAATTTAAGAAGACACAAGATGTAAGAAATAGCAGACAATAATTTAAGCATCTGCATGACTATGAGGCACAGAGTGGGACTTTCAGTCAATAAATATTTAGGTGACTCAATAGTTCCTTTACCTAGGTCCTTGTATTTTGAGTTACCTTTACATATAATCGCCTATGTTAACTTTAAATTTTGATTTAATTCATTACAATCTCCTCCTCCACAGTTTGAATGTAAGACATGCTATTTGGTGGATATTGGTGTGCTTACTGCCAAGGCAGCTCCAGCTAGGACTGGAGCCAGGGCATGCTGCTTGTGCCTGCAGCTTCTGCTATGAACTGAAGAGGCAGAAGGGATGGAGGATGGGGATGATGGCAGTCGAGAGGAGAGAAATAGAGGGCACCTGCTCTGGGAATACATTTAAAAGCATTCCTGCTGGGATTAAGGATATTCTAAAGACAAGCAGCCAAATGTGTTCATAAAGGCACTTACGAGGGGAGCTGGAAGCTCTATTTTGTCAAGAGGCTAGAAATCAGAATCCTAAAATAAAGGTTGTAGAAAATAGGGCGTGCAATTAGAGACTTCTGATCCTGGTAATATCACCCACTCCACTCACTGTGAAAGAAATGGGGAGATGCCCTCTCATTTTGACTGAGACAGAAAGTTCATGGGGCAACTCACCTTCATATGCTATATTGTTAAAAGGTGTTGAACATGAGGGTGTATTCTCTCATTGGAGATTTATGTTCGCAGATACTCCTCTTGGATTTTCCTGCCAGGAAAATTATCATAATTGCCAGAGAGCAATTAGGATTCTTTCGGACTCAGCTGTATATGAGTGACATACATTACTCTCTTAAGTAACTATTTTATAAAATGCTAACTTACAAATACTTTTTGTTATAAAGATGGGATGGTTCTCACTAATTATTCCATCACTTAACTGATACCTCAGCATAAACTGATGGCCTGCAGTTGATTCTTCTTAGGAGAAAGTACGAATGAAGAAACAAGTGCTATAATCAGAGATGTTTTACAAAAAATCGTAAAACATTTTGAACAAATTTTGAACTGTATAATTTTTCCTAGATTGTGAGATACAGTGAGCATCCATAATTGGCAGCCTACCTACACCATTGTACTGATAGCTTAGCATTAATATCGTATCAAAATAAAAAAGAAAGTAATTCTTCAGTTTCTGCTGCAAAACTTTTCTAGTGAGAGACACTGTGCAAATGGACAATGGCCAGACCATATATAAGAACAGAACTCGCAACCTGCAGCAACCTGACCAGGAAACCAATCCCTTATCTATAGCAACCAGCCCAGGAGGCCAGCCTGCTCCAACTAAGACCTGTAGGAAGTCAGACTGGTATCTCTACCAACTTTCCAGGTAGCCAAACAATAACTCCTGTAATAATTGCCCTAAAGTGGCCAGGACTTGATTAAAAACTGACAGCTTCCCTAATTTTTGTCTCTGCTTCTAACTTAGGACCAACTGGAGAAAGCAAGGATGCACTCCTAGTCAATCACAAGGTGTCCCACTTGTAGTTAATGTACTTACAGTTTCTCCATGCCAACAGCCTCCAATGAGAGTACACCTGAAGCCCTCTTGTTTTTTTTTCCCCCCCCAATATAAAGCTTTCATATTCTCTCTGCCAACCTTTGAGTCTCTGCCAAAACACAAGTGGTGGTGGCTGATTCCCTTGCTGCAGTAAGCTCTAATAAATATCCTTTGCTTGTTCTCATTTGGTTGGTCTTCATTTACTTCCACACTGGAATATCGTGGGACCACTTTATGGGAAGCAGTTTAACAAAATGAACATAAAAATCTCTTCAAGGCAGTGACACAGATTTGCATTCTCTCTCTGCTTCTTTCTCAATTGGACAGACTTACCCTTCAATTCAACACAAAGTAACATGCATTCTATTCTTGTAAAGCCCCATTTGTTAACCTTTCATTTCATATCAAAGCTGTATGTATGCTCTGATACTCAAATCTTTAATTCATTCTGCCTTTGTTCAATCTGTTTACCTCCATTTATTTAGTGTTTTTAAATTTTCATTTTAAGCACTATGGTTTCCTTTTTCTTGAATTCCAGTTGGTTTCTTGTCATACCTATACTTGATTCTCACCTGCTGATATTCCTTGTCTGTTGTATGGATTTCATTTTGTTGATGCTCATATCTACTCTACATCTTTGAGGACTTCAAATTGTATTTTAATGCAGTTTCAGATTGGTGTATTATTTCTAGTTCTTTGGGCATACATTCTTCCATCTTTCAGGTTTACTGAATGAGTGTATTAGTATCAGGTTTCTTTATTCATTGTGGGAATGGGATTTGAGAGAACATCTCTTGAGATAACTTTTATTTTCATATCTTTTCTCCCTCTTGTTCCGTGGGTCCATGATTATCTCATTCAGATACATCCAGATTTCAAAGATATGTCTTATATTAGTAGCTCAGACCTTCACTCCATCATAATATTCCGCTACAATACCATCAACTTCACATACACAACAATCCATTTCTCAGTTCCCAGTTACTGTTTCTGCCAAGAGTACACTGAGTAAGTAGTTAGTAGTTTTCCTATATTCATTGATGAGAGTGTAGGGGACTTTACGCTTTCCCTCTATTGTCTGAAGGTTTGATAATTTGAGTCTCTGGAATAACTATGACAGAAGACAGATTAACAAGAGAAAAGGATTACAAACGTATTACATGCATAGTAGTCCTACAAAATATGAGACTCAAAGAAAGACCAAATGGTTAAAAGCTTGAATAGCATTTTGAGCTGCAGAAAGAAATACGGTCTTCTCAGCAGGGGGAGGTGACAAAAGTTCTGGGAGGATGAGGGGAAGAACTATAGTGGGAACAAAAGTTACCTTGTTACGCAGATAAAGTCTTTTCTGAATAGCAACCCTCAGAAGAATTAGGTAAAAAAAAGTCTAGCTGGGCATGGTGGCTCACACCTGTAATTGCAGCACTTTGGGAGGCCAAAGTGGGTGGATCACCTGAGGTCAAGAGTTTGAGACCAGCCTGTCCAACATGTAGTGAAACTCTGTCTCTACTAACAAATATAAAAATTAGCTGGGTGTGGTGGCATGCACCTGTAATCCCAGCTACTTGGGAGGCTGAGACAGGAGAATCACTGAACCTGGGAGGCGGAGGTTACAGCGAGCCGAGATCATGCCATTGCAATCCAGCCTGGGGGAGAGAGTGAGGCTCTGTTCCTCAAAAAAAAAAAAAAAGTCTGCATGGGCATGGTGTCCTGGGCATGGATGGATGGAGATCTTGGTGTCTTATCTTGCTGAGTTAATCTTCTTCACTTAATGTAGATTCTAGAAAGGACTTGACAACAATTGCATTCCTTTTGTAGGAACTTCCCTTAATCAGATAAGGGAAACTTCAGAGAAAGCTCCTCCCCTGTCTGGGAGAGAAATAGGATTGACAGAAAGGGGAGTGGGGCAAGGTCAGAGAGACCTTGGTTCTGAAGCTACTTCTTTAGTTCAAAGTACTCAGCCTGTAAAAGTGCCCTACTTCAAAGTGTCCTGAGCCCCAGTATGAGGGTGAGAAGGGTGCTAATTCCTAGCTTTATATAGGGGACTTGGTTCTAGTCCCTCATCTTATGTGGACTGTAATCAGTTTCATTTTCATACAGGAGCAAATGCTGGACTTCACTACTAATTTTGATGCTTAGATTCTTCTGTTACAGCCTTACCACATAAGTCACTAGTCACCTCTTAGTTTCCTATTCTATTTCTCATCTAGAGAGTTTTTTCTTTGTGTTAGAATGTGTTTTTATTTTTAATATATTTTATTTATAATATTTTTGTTTGGTATAGATAAAAGTGGTCACTGCTGGGCGCGGTGGCTCACGCCTGTAATCCCAGCACTTTG